>NC_000003.12:129463149-129614664 GCF_000001405.40 Homo sapiens
CTTATGTAACTATTATACAATATCAAGACCAGGAAACTGAGACTGGCACAAAGTGTGTATATTATATAGTTCTGTTGTTTTATCGCATGTGTAGATTGCCATCAGCGTGACACAGAACTAAGCCATCACCATGCAGTTACCACTTAGTGTCATATCTACTCACCTTACCTCCAGTTATCTCCAAACCCTGGTAACCACAAATCTGTTCTCCATTTCTATAATTTTGTCATTCAAGAATGTTATATAAATGGAATCGTACAGTATATGACCTTTTGAGATTATGTTTTTTCATTCAGCATAAAATCCTGGAGATCCATCTAAGTTGTTGTATGTTTCAATTATTTGTTCCTTTTTATTGCTGGGTAGTATTCCAACCAATCCATCTTCTTTTATATTATTGTGCATTGAAGGGTTGTGGTCTCCTGAACAGAAGTCTGTCTCCAAACACAAATCAAGCAGCAAGATCATCTGCTGCAGGTAAGTGCAGCTCTGACGATAAGATTTATGTTCCTTCATCTTCCACACAGACTCTCAAAATCCAATTATTTCATGCAGCAGAGAAGGTCTTGTGTTAGGTAGTTGGTTTAGGCCCCTGTATTTCCTTTTTTCTTCTTTCTTCGTCTCCTCGATGGGAAAGACTTGTGCCTTTGATCATGAAGCAAAAGAGAACTACAAGTTGCCTTCATGCAGTTACTTAGCAACAAGCCTCAACATCCAGCTATACTGAGTGGAGGCTTGTTGAAAATGTGAGGCTGTCATTGTCCAGGCAGCATGTGTGGGGAAGAAAGCTTTCCCTCCCACACTTTGATGCTAGACCTGAATTAGAATCCAGAATCTCTCATTGACAGGCCATGTGACCTCAGGAAAGTTACTAAATCTTTCTGAGCTGGAGCTTTACGTTCCTCATCTGACAGATAGGGATAAAAATACTGACTTGACGAGATTGTTGTGAAATGCACACAAACTCATGAGTGTAAAGCGTGCAGGACAGTACCTGGTGTACAGTAGACACTCTAAATGGTAGCTATTCTTGCTGTTCAGCTTCTAGGAGTATATCCCTTCCGTTCAGCATCTGTTGAGCACCTTCTACAAAGCAAGCACTGTTCTAGGGGTTGGAAGACACCAAGTCTGTTCTTAAGGTGCTCTTTAAGTGGGAGGGGATTGAGATGGAGAGTGGGAAGTGGTGGCTGGCCCAGAGATGTAGGCACAAGCTAAGGGCTGTCATAGAGGTATGTACAGAGGGCTGGGGGAGCTCAGAAAAAGGCACCAAATGGTGCCTTCACTTCTCACTGTTTATTACAGAACTAAATAGCATTTTAAGTTTGATCCTCTGACTTTATGTCAGGACCGGCAATAATGAAACCATATCCCAGCTGTTGCTGCCTCATCAGACTTTTATTTCAAACCAAGGCATCATCCTCACTAGTTTTACCTTCTGTGGGGTGCTTCCCCTATCCCCATGCCTTTTGTTGGTTGTGTACACAGCTGGACAAATGATGGTCAGTACCTGGCGCTGGGGATGTTCAATGGGATCATCAGCATACGGAACAAAAATGGCGAGGAGAAAGTAAAGATCGAGCGGCCGGGGGGCTCCCTCTCGCCAATATGGTCCATCTGCTGGAACCCTTCAAGGTACTCTTAAAGTTGTCCTCCTTCTAGAACAAACACCATCATGAAGAAGGGCTTTTTGTCTTCCTGAGGTCTCCCTACATTCAAAGGCTTCTCACCTCACTTGAATGGTCTGTTTTAGAACCTGTCCCATTTGTATGGATTTTTTTTTTAATAGTCCCGCTACCTGAGAATGTATGGAATTTATTAAGAGCCTCCTCAAAAGTTGAGTTTAGGAATGAATCCTGGACATTTTAGCAAAGCAGATGAGCTATTTAGGACAGGCCAAAGTGTGTGTGTGGCGTGTGTGTCTGCGCACATGTGCATGCACACATGTGTACGTGTACATGTATATGAGTGTGTGTGTGTGTGTGTGTGTGTGTGTGTGTGTGTGTGTGTGTGTGGTGTGTGAGTGATGCAGCAGGACCATTTCCTTATGAATCAATAGTGGAGCTCTTTGCTGTGGCTTTATTTTTGCCTTTCCTTTTTTAGTTCTTCCCTCCAAGTTTGGGCAGAATATGTGCCCACCTGTTAATAAATAGCTTTTTCATGAGCCTTTTTTTGCCCTTGTCAGAAAGTCAAAATTAAGTCTACAGACGTCCCTAAAGCCTAGAGATACACAAACAATTGGCACCTACCTTCTTAAATTTTATACACACTTTGCTTTCTATGTCCATGTGACTTTGAGAGTAAACTAATTATATGCTCTTTTTTTTTTTTTTTTTTTTTTTGAGATGGAGTCTCGCTCGGTTGCCCAGCCTGGAGTGCAGTGGCACAATCTCGGCTCACTGCAACCTCCACCTCTCGGGTTCACGCAGTTCTCCTGTCTCAGCCTCCTGAGTAGCTGGGATTACAGGTGCCTGCCACCACGCCTGGCTAATTTTTTTTTTTTTTTTGAGACGGAGTCTCGCTCTGTCGCCCAGGCCGGACTGCGGACTGCAGTGGCGCAATCTCGGCTCACTGCAAGCTCCGCTTCCCGGGTTCACGCCATTCTCCTGCCTCAGCCTCCCGAGTAGCTGGGACTACAGGCGCCCGCCACCGCGCCCGGCTAATTTTTTGTATTTTTAGTAGAGACGGGGTTTCACCTTGTTAGCCAGGATGGTCTCGATCTCCTGACCTCATGATCCACCCGCCTCGGCCTCCCAAAGTGCTGGGATTACAGGCGTGAGCCACCGCGCACGCCTGGCTAATTTTTTGTTGCCACCACACCTGGCTAATTTTTTGTATTTTTAGTAGAGACAGGGTTTCACCATGTTGGCCAGGCTGGTCTTGAACTTCTGACCTCAGGTTATCCACCCACCTCAGCCTCCCAAAGTGCTGAGATTACAGGTGTGAGCCACTGTGCCTGACCCTATATGCTCTTTATATATCCTATAATATTATTAAACCATCAGTATCCTTTACAGAGTCCTCTGAGGGTAAACGAAAGGTCCTACTTGTTTACCAGCTCAATGTCATTTTACAGATGGTTGCCTACTTGATTTAGAAGGTTGTTTGGAAGGTTATTATGCTTCTTCCTGAATAATTTTTTTTGGCCCATGCTGTACCATGCATGTCTAATGCTGTCAAAGGCCATTAGCCTGCCCCAGAGTTCCTGCTGTTTGATTTGTGGCTGCAGAGGACTTGGTGGCTCTAGGCTACCATTTTTAATTCATGAGAAGCAGGAGGCCCTGTATACCTGGTGGCTGTCCTCCTCCAGGTAGGGTTCAGAGGCTCCTTTTATTTTTTATTTTTATTCTTTTTTTTTTTTTTTTTTTTTTTTGAGACGGGGTCTCACTCTGTCACCCAGGCTGCAGTGCAGTAGTGCGATCTTGGCTCACTGCAACCTCCGCCTCCCAGGTTCAAGCAATCCTCTCACCTCAGCCTCCCAAGTAGCTTGGATCACAGGCACATGCCACTACACCTGTCTAATTTTTTGTATTTTTGGTAGAGACAGGGTTTCACCATGTTGGCCAGGCTGGTCTTGAACTCCTGATCTCGAGCGATTCACTTGCCTCGGCCTCCTGAAGTGCTGGGATTACAGGCGTGAGTCACTGCACCTGGCCCCCAGGGGCTCCTTGCCAGGATTTTAAATTATAGTTTTAGTGTAGTTCTAGGCAATGTAATTTTGAACAACTACTTACTGTCTACAGCCGATGGGAGAGTTTCTGGATGAACAGAGAGAATGAGGATGCCGAGGATGTCATTGTCAACAGATATATTCAGGAAATCCCTTCCACTCTGAAGTCAGCAGTGTACAGTAGTCAGGGTAGTGAGGCAGAGGAGGAAGAACCAGAGGAAGAGGACGACAGTCCCAGGGACGACAACTTGTGAGTGTGTCCCAGTGAGTGGGAACCCTTCTGGTAAGGGCCCAGGCCCCACACAGACTTGCCAGGACAGATGTTAAACTCTTTGGCCAAGGGAGTGCAGGGACTAGGGGGAACTGTGGGTGAAAGCGCCTTCAAAAAAAGGAGACATACCCTTAAAACTTGTGTGTGGGTATAAAGTGATCCTGTGAGAAACTATAGGAAATACTGAAAAGACTAAAGGAGAAAGTTCAACTTTTCTGATAAAACCCCATCCCCTGAGGAAATCACTGTTAGCAATCTAGTGTATTTCTCCTCAGTCTTTTCGTGTGTTCATATAATTAACTAAGTCATATTCTGCTTTTTTTTTCACTTAACATTATAGTGTGAACCCTTTCCAGTAACATTACAAATCCTTCGAAGAACATGATTTTTAATGTCTGAAAAGTGTGCCCTTTTGTGGATGCCCCATCACTCGACACTTCCTCTATTACTGGACACGTTTCTTAGCCTGTTCCCACACTATCCCTTACCTTACCTTGCATTTTCTAGGATGTATATCAGAGAGGAAGCCCTTACCTTAGCCACAGTCTTCACTCCCAAATCCTGGCTGTCTAGTCATTCTTCTCTTCAGTTGAGATTGCCTGTAGGGAAAACATGGGCAGGCCAGAGTGGGGAAAGCTGGGGTAGCCAGGATATCTCAGTTTGGCAGTAGAGATCTAGCTTGAGACTTTCCAAACTGTTTTACATAGTACCTGAGTTTCCTTGGAAGAATCCCACCCTGAGGTCATGGGGGCTGGGAAGTGGGGACCAGTAAAGGAGGAAGGTATGGCTTTGGGTCCCCATCTCAGTGCCTTTGATTGTTTCAACATGAGTTTTTGTTTCATAAAGAATCCTACTGCCCCAGGAGGTAAAAGGGGGTTGAAAATCACTGATCCATCTCACAGGGACTGAGCCCAGCCCAGAGCCATATGTGGCCTCCCCAAGAGGGCTCACTGGTGGGCTGGGCTCCTGGATTGTGTTTGGACTTTGGACATCAGTGCCAGTCACACAAAGGTCATCTGCAGGCTCCCTCATTAACATCCCTCTCGGTCTTTGTCTCTTTTCCCTTAGTTTTGGGTTAGTGCCTATGACATTTGCCACTCTTGGCTGGGTTTTACAAACAAGGCTTTACCTTGCCTGCCTACATATCCAGTGGTGCTACCAGGTTACCACAAGACACTGGGATCAGAAAAGCTGGAATTAATAAACAAAGAGGCAACATTAGGTGGATTAAGACCCAGCCTCAAGGGCTAGGAATGCTTTTCTTTTTTTTTTTTGTGACAGAGTCTGGCTCTGTCACCTGGGCTGGAGTGCAGTGGCACGATCTCGGCTCACTGCAACTTCCGCCTCCCGGGTTCTAAGCGATTCTTGTGCCTCAGCCTCTGGAATAGCTGGGATTACAGACACGCGACACCACGCCGAACTAATTTTGCATTTTCAGTAAAGATAGGGTTTCCCCATGTTGGCCAGGCTGGTCTAGAACTCCTGACCTCAGGTGATCCACCTGCCTCAACCTCCCAAAGTGCTGGAATTACAAGCGTGAGCCATCACGGGCTGCCGCTTTTCTCTTGAACTAGATTCCCAGGTAGCTTGCTCTCCAGCCTCAGGCAAGGGAGTTTCTCCTGTGTGCTGGTCCTACAGTCCCAGCCCCACAGCACTGATCCCCATAGGTTCTCAGTTTCAAAGACAGTTGTTTGTTTTCAGAGCCCATTGCTCTTTTTTGAAAATTAGATTCAGTCAGAAACCATTTCACCTGTGCAAGGACCCCCGCCTGCAGGAGAACCTATTTTTAGGTGTTAATTTTCTTTCTTCAGGAAGAGCAAGCAAGTTTCCCTTCTATTAAAAAATGTCTTTGTGCTGCAAGAGATGTTTCTCTGCCATCTCCCCACATTTTCTAGTATGTAAGAGAAAAGCAGTCTCAATATTGCAGCCTTGCCTATCTTAGTGTTGCTCCCCAGTAAGCTCTGAAATGAGAGGTTTATCTTCTTCAGCTGCAGCAGTGTCCCCAGCACCATAAGGTCATAGCAGGGGACTCAGTGAAACAGCAGATCCCAGGAAGGCTGAACCTCAACTCTGCTTCATCCCGTAAGACTGATTGATGGGTTGGGCCAAATTATAACTTTTGGCTTCAGTAAAGCTGTACAACATTTGGCAACCTGAGGCCAGGACTTCCTTGTTCCTGTTGTTTAAGCCCTTAGAGCTATACTCATCAGCAGGCTGTGGCCCTTCATAACCTCTTTTATCTTCTGTTGATTAGAGAGGAACGTAATGACATCCTGGCTGTGGCTGACTGGGGACAGAAAGTTTCCTTCTACCAGCTGAGTGGAAAACAGGTATGTAGCCCTGTACAAATCCAATTGCAGTCATGCCTGTTATATTTTCATTTTCTGAGATTCTGTTACTATTAATTATACATTATCATTGTTAGTTCCTGCTTATTGAGCATTTGCTGTGGTACCAGAT
This sequence comes from Homo sapiens, assembly GCF_000001405.40. NCBI lineage: Eukaryota > Metazoa > Chordata > Mammalia > Primates > Hominidae > Homo > Homo sapiens. The sequence goes on from NC_000003.12 coordinate 129,469,548, forward strand.
ACTGTGCTCACTGCTTTGCATACTTTATCCTATTTTATTCTTATAAAACCCAATGAAGTGGGTACTACTTTCCTTATCAACTTTTTAGAAATGAGTAAACCAGAACTCAGAGCAGTGAAATTATATGCCCAAGATCTCACACAGCTAGTAAATGGTGGAGCCTAGGAGTTAAACCCAGGTTGGTTTGACTTTAAAATCTAGCTCTTAATTTTGACCTTACTTTCCTCTATTCGCTTTCTTTCATTCAACCAGTATTTATGAGTACCCACTCAGGAAAGCCCTTTCATAAAGGAGCTGCTGACATAGAGCTGGGAAAGTGATAGCCTCTACCTGCAAGAGCTCACAGGCTGGCGGAGACACACTTGATAGCAAAGAGCCCCTGTGTGGTGTGGTATGTGACACAATAGAAAGCTGTACAGATAGACAGCTTTTTGGGACACAAAAGAGGGTAACATCACTACTTGGTAGAGATGGGAGGTCTTGTTAGAGGTTATCTTTGAGCAGGCCATCTTTGAGTTAGGCTAAGGACATTGGGAATGGTGTTTCAGGCAGAAAAAAAAATAGCATGTATCAAGGCAGGAAGGAATGAAAATATATGACAGTTCAGAGAATGGTGAGTTGTACAGGGTGACTGCATCTCAGAGTTTGTGACCTGAAAACAGAGCTGAAGAGGAACATGGGGGTATGATTTTTTATTTATTTATTTATTTATTTATTTATTTTTAATTTTTTTCGAGATGGAGTCTCACTCTGTGGCCCAGGCTGGAGTGCAGTGGCTCAGTCTTGGCTCACTGCAAGCTCCGCCTCCTGGGTTCACGCCATTCTCCTACCTCAGCCTCCTGAGTAGCTGGGACTACAGGCGCCCACCACCACGCCTGGCTAATATTTTTTGTATTTTTAGTAGAGACGGGGTTTCACTGTGTTAGCCAGGATGGTCTCAATCTCCTGACCTCGTGATCCGCCCGCCTCAGCCTCCCAAAGTGCTGGGATTACAGGCATGAGCCACCACGCCCGGCCTATGATTTTTTGTTTGTTTGTTTTGAGACAGAGTCTCACTCTGTCGCCTAGGCTGGAGTGTAATGGCTCAATCTCGGTTCACTGCGACCTCTGCCTCACGGGTTCAAGAGATTCTCCTGCCTCAGCCTCCTGGGTAGCTGGGATTACAGGCATGTGCCACCATGTCCGGCTAATTTTGTATTTTTAGTAGAGACGGGGTTTCTCCATGTTGGTCAGGCTGGTCTCAAGCTCCTGACCTCAGGTGATCCACCTGCCTCAGTCTCCCAAAGTGCTGGGATTACAGGCATGAGCTGCCACCACGCCTGGCTGGAGATGTGATTATAAAGGACCTGAGTAGTGTGAATAAGAAGTTTGAACATCATATACTGTAAGTATTCAGGAGCCATAGGTGGCAGGAAGTGGCATCACAGATTCTTGCTTCAGAAGAATAACTTGTTTCCATGGAGGGTGGATTAAAATATAGAGAGCATGGTAGTAGGATGACTTATTAGTAGGCAGGAAATGCCAAGGATTAGAGTAAAGGTGCTGGGTACAGATTTCACACCACAGCCAAGCAAGTGAGAAATGCAACCTGTGCAGTGAAGCCTTTAATTGCGTAGCATCCTTATTCCTCAAAACATGTCATGTAAGAGGGAAGAGTTTTAGATGTGTGTAGCCCAGCTTTTGGGCCATTTCTTCTACCCCTGCCTTACCATTGGTCATTTCTTTTGTATTCGAGTAAAGAAAAGATAAAGGGAGCAGATAATGAAGTATTTTCTCAGTTTCCCATGGCTGATTTCCTAAAACTCTCATTTTAATTAACTATCATCTAGTTTCCCTGGCCCTCTCTATTCATCTGCTTAATGTGTGTACATCATCATTCAACAGATACTTATTGGCACACCTACTGTGTACGAGGCACTGGATGTGGGTACTGAAGACTCTTGGGAACAAATAACCACACTGCAGTGGGAGGGAATGGGGTCTTGTTGCTATGGCCACAGAAGAAAAGAGCTCAACATGGCCGAGGGCCACAGGAAATATCTTGCATGTATGCAGCCCCAGAGCTCATGTTGTGGCCCAAAGTTTCTGCACGATGAGCAACCTTAACCTGCTGAGATGGTAACCCCAACTTGTTTGGGACAGTAAAATTGTTTTCTTGCTGGGTGTCTTCCCTTCCCAATCTAGGAAGATTTAGAATTCAATATAGGATGATGAAGTAAATCAAACCCATACTTTTGTGTTAGTCTGAGGTATAATTTGTGTATTTTTGTCATTTGAAGTGTTAGTAATACTTAAGGGGATCTGGCTTAATAATAATAATAGCTAACATTTATTGAATTCCAGGCATTATATAAACTCTTTACAAGGATTAACTCTTTTAATCCTTATAACAACCCTATGAGGTAAATACTGTTATCATCACCATTTTACATGTACGAAAATTGAAGCACAGAGAGGCTCAATAATTTGCCCAAAGGCACACATTTAGTCTGTGGTCCACCCTGCTGAAACCCAGGCATACTGGTGCCAGAATCCATATTAGAATGTCTATCAGATTAGTCTTGCAATGACCATTCAAAAGTTGTATTGAGTAATTTCATATGTCTGATTTTATTTACTTTTTGAGAAAAGGCCTCACCCTGTTACCCAGGCTGGAGTGCAGTGGTATGATCATGGTTCACTGCAGCCTTGATCCCCCTGGGCTCAAGGAATCTTCCCACTTTGGCCTTCCAAGTAGCTGGGACTACAGGCACATGCCACCACATCCTGCTAATTAAAAAAAAAAATTTTTTTTTTTTGGTAGAGATAGGGTCTCCTATGTTGTCCAGGCTGGTCTCAAACTCCTGGGCTCAAATGATTCTTCTGCCTTGGCTTCCCAAACTGCTGGGAATACAGGTGTGAGCCACCATATCTGGCCTACTTCTGATTTTAAGTGGAAAGATAAGAATTATATTTAAAGTGTATATTATTTAAGGTTCCTAAGCAATATTGGAATGCTTAAGCAATTTGTTACATTTTTCTTCTTGGTGTTCACTGAGCTTTTTGAATCTACACATTGATATCGTTCTGTCTTTCACCAAATGTGAAAACATTTTGGCCATGATTTCTTGAAATATTTCTTCTTCTCCATTCTTTCCTTTCCTCTGGAACTCTAATTACACTTACATTAGACCTTTTGTTACTGTTCTCCAAGTCATCGAGGCCCTGTTATTATTTTTTTAAATCCCTTCTTTTCCCTCTGATCTTCAGATTAGAGGATTTCTGTTGTTCAGTATTAAATTTCATTGACTCTTCTGCAACTTCCAATATTTTTCTTAAGCTCATTCAGTGTGTATTTGTTTCAGTTATTATTGCATTTTTCCTTTTCTAGAATTTCCATTTGGTTCTTTTTTCCTTTTTATTCATTACAAGCGTATTTTTCTTTATAGCCTTAATCATAGTTATAATAACTGTTTTAAAATTCTCATCTGCAGCTGGGCATGGTGGCTCATGCCTGTAATCTTAGTACTTCTGGAGGCCAAGGAGGGACGATTGCTTGAGGCCAGGAGTTCAAGACTAGCCTGGGCTACATAGAGAGACTCCATCCCTAAAAACGAACAAACAAATTGGCCAGGGAGGTGGCAGGCACCCATTGTCCTAACAACTCTGTAGGCTGAGGTGGGAGTATTCTCAAGCTGAGGAGTTCAAGGCTGCAGTGAACTCTTACCACTGCACTCCAGTGTGGGTGACAGAGCAAGACCTGTGCCCAAAAAGCAAACAAAAATTCTTATCTGCTATTTCTAACATTTGGGTCGTCATGGTTCAGTCTCCATTGATTTTTTTCCCTTGAATATGGTTCACATTTTCCTGCTTTGGGGAATTTTGAATTGTACTCAATATTGTGAGTAATATGTCATAAAGACTCATATCCATCATGTTCCTCTGAAGATTATTGTGTATGTTTGTGTGTATATATGTTTAAGCAGGCAGTTTACTTTGCTGGGCTCAAAATCAAAACTCCATGTTTTCAGTGGTGTCAGCAGCTGACATCTCTGTGCAGTTCTTTAGCTGTAGCTAGGCTGCTTGGCATCTTGTCACAGTTTATAGTTCAAGGGTTTCCAGATATTCAGTGGAGTTTATGTGCAGAATTTAAGCTCTTACTTTGCTTCTCTTTTCTGGGATTTCCCACTTCACTTTCCGGGTGCTGTGGTCCTCCCAAATTCTATACTCACCCAGCATGATGGTGAAGAGGGCTGCCCTCAGGCAAAAACCCTTAAAAAAATGAGAAGTTCACCTAGTGTTTGTTCCCTTCTTCTAAATGTGCATGTGTCTTCAGTTTCTGCCTGCTTTTGGTCGCCCTGAAATGGTTGTTGTTTATAGTTGGTCCAGAGTTTATTGTTGTTACTTTGTGGGAAGATTGGTCCGATGGGAACTAGTGAGCCATTTCCAGAAGCTGCTAGCCTTCCATGTCGTGATTCATAAGAATTTTTAGTTTTCTTGTTAGGTTTTCTAGCATCAGATAAGTGCTAGGGAAAGTTTTCGTTGCTAGGCATTTGAAATTCCTATACAGGAAAGGAAATTTGAATGTATTAAACTTATAATTGCAGTTTAAATTGGTGTAAGGGAATTAATTTAACTAAGTTTTAAATGGGACTGGATATTTAAGGGATTTTATAATCTGTTCAAAATTGGATGCCTTAAACAGTCAAAGTCAATTGGCTGTTCACTTTAACTAGATTTATAAATAGGAAAATATTTGTAAATTGAACTTAAGAACTTAAGGAGAAACCAGTTCCCTAAAGTTATTTCTTTTATAAATTGAATATTAGTTTAATAATGTTAATCACAAATCGTCTTTTTATTCACAAAAGACACCCTTGGGGCAGCAAAAAACTCCAGTGGTAATAAGGAACTTGGGCTTTAGTGGGGCAGACCTGATTAACCCTGTGTCTACAGACAACGAGAGAAGTGCAATGGGATAGGCGAGCACAAGTGCTGTGGGAGGATGAGGGGATGGGGATTGGAGATGTTCCTGGAGGAGATGACACCTGGCAGACAAAGTGAGGGAAAGAGCATTCCTGGCTGGGTCTAGGAATGGTGTGGAGTGTAGCACCTGTGAGGATGTGGAGGCCTGAAAAAGCATTGCCCGCTTAGGAAACTTACAAGTTCATTTTGGCTGAGAGAATGACCTTGGGGGCTGAGCTCGGGAGTTTGACCTGCATCCTAGAAGCTGAGGAAGCACCATCAAGAAAGAGAAAAGACAACCCACAGAATGAGAGAAGTTTTACAACTCATATATCTGATAAAGGACTTGTATCTGGAATATATAAAGAGCTATAAAGACAGGGCTGGGCATGGTGGTTCACACGTGTAATCCCAGTGCTTTGGGAGGCAGAGACAGGGAGATCACTTGAGAACAGGAGTTCAGGACCAACCTGGGTAACAGTGGGACCCCACCTCTAAAAAAATATATTTTTAATTAGCTGAGTGTGGTGGTATATGCCTCTAGTCCCAGCTACTGGGGGTGGTGAGGGGCTGAGGCAGAGGAATTGAGCCCAGAAGTTCAAGGTTGCATTGAGTTATGATCATACGACTGCATTCCAGCCTAAGCCACAGAGTGTGACATTTCTCTGTGGCCAATAAGCACATGAAATGATGCTCCATATCATTAGCCATCAGGAAAATGCAAATTGAAACCACAATGAGATAATTCGCACTCACTAAAATGGAGAAATTGGAATCCTCATACACTGCTAATGCAAATATAAAGTGGTGCATTCACTTGAAAAGTGTAGCAGTTCCTAAAAAAGGTTCAACGTAGAGTTTAAAAATAAAAAAATATAGGCCAGGAGCTATGACTCACTCCTGTAATCCCAGCACTTTGGGAGGCCAAGGTGGGTGGATCATCTGAGCTCAGGAGTTTGAGACTAGCCGGGACAACAAGGAGAAACACCGTCTCTGCAAAAAATACAAAAATTAGCCAGGCGTGTTCTCACACATCTGTAGTCCCAGCTACTTGGGAGGCTGAGGTAGGAGGATCACGTGAAGCTGGGAAGTGGAGGTTGCAGTAAGCCAAGATGGCGCCACTGCACTCCAGCCTGGGCAACAGAGTCAGACCCTTTTTCAAAAAAAAAATTTTTTGCCAGGCATGGTGGCACTCACCTATGGTCCCAGCTACTTAGGAGGCTGAGGCAGGAAGATCGCTTGAGTCCAGGAGTTGAAGGCTGCAGTGAGCCGTAATTGCACCACTGCACTCCAGCCTGGGTGACAGAGTGAGACCCCATCTTGAAATAAACAAGAATTAAAAAATGAAGAGAAGTAGTATGGGTGTAGTTGCAGAATAAAGGACAGTCTTTAAACTGAATAAACTCAGCTTTATAAAATACTTTTTTAAAAAGGCGGAGAAAAGAAGCTGAGGGAACCCATTGAACTATAGGAAGAACTATATTTGCAGAGGGAGGGGGGCCTTTGGGAACAAAACCACCCACAGTCTCCATCTTGGCGGAGGAGCCCTGACACACTCCTGCACTCCTGGAGCACTTGGGTGGGACTAGGGGAGGTGCCACTGACTCCAGGAGCTGAGGTTTGGGCTGTGTAGAGGATGAGTAGGGAGATGCAGAGGCAGAGAGGCCTGTGTTCACCATGGGATGACACAGGAGAAAAGGCTGGCCAGCTCTCCCTGTCTTCCCAACTCCCTCTAAAGTTGGCGAGAAAAAGCCCTTAATTGTATTGCAATGGTTATGGATTCGGAAATGGTTTTTCCCTTGCTGTGTGTTCTTTTTCCTCAGATTGGAAAGGATCGGGCACTGAACTTTGACCCCTGCTGCATCAGCTACTTTACTAAAGGCGAGTACATTTTGCTGGGGGGTTCAGACAAGCAAGTATCTCTTTTCACCAAGGATGGAGTGCGGCTTGGGACTGTTGGGGAGCAGAACTCCTGGGTGTGGACGTGTCAAGCGAAACCGGATTCCAACTATGTGGTAAGAAGAGAAAGTTTGTTCTGTGGGGCCATGGCTTGAAGAGGCACTGAGCAGCCGCCGTGTCTCGAGTCACATCACTGGGGTTTGTGTCTGACAAATGGGGGAATGCAGACTTTCTCCAGAGAGCTGGGAATTGACAGTTCTCTCACCCCGCAGGTGGTCGGCTGCCAGGACGGCACCATTTCCTTCTACCAGCTTATTTTCAGCACAGTCCATGGGCTTTACAAGGACCGCTATGCCTACAGGGATAGCATGACTGACGTCATTGTGCAGCACCTGATCACTGAGCAGAAAGGTAAGAGGCAGGTCCAGACCTTGGGAAGAGGGACAGGTGGAAGCAGGTGGAAAGGGCTGGTGACAGGGCACTTGAAATGACAGGAAAAGGTTTCTCTTTGGCGTTTTGCAAACCTGTTAGCCACTGGGTCTGTGTCTTGTTTTCTTTTTTTTTTTTTTTTGGTGGGGGAAGTAGGGATGCCAGTCTCCTTGAGGATCTCATGAAAGCAATAAATCCTCTCTGAAAAATGTACCAACTCAGAATTTTGCACATAATTTCAAGGAGTACATGAATTTCCTTAGTGAGGGAGGATGATTTATGACAGGTTGGAGCCAGGTGGTTGACCTGCATGGGTCTTCGTGGACCTTTATCCTTTCTGGTCAGAGTCACTCTGGGGTGCTTCTCCCTCAGCCCTGTCTCCACTTGCCTCCTGGTGGGTCCTTCTGCCAGAGATGAGCAGTGGAATTGGATTGGCACAGGCTAGGTCAGAAGATCAGAGTTCCCGGCCTCGCATAGTCATTCTAAGCCCTAAGACTGCAGTCTCTCCCTCTGTCCACTTAAGTTGCTGTGCTGGTTAAATAGACTCAATCCACTTACTTCAGGTGTATTCATATCTGGATGTGCTGGCCTTAGTGCACTGCTAGGTGCCTTTGCAAGGGATCCAGGTTGGGGGTTGTCTTGTAGATTCAGATGAGTGTCCTTTGGTCCCCCTGGGGGACCCTATCTTTTTGAAGATTCTGGCTGTGGTGGTTGGGGCAAAGCCCCTTGGGCAGCTTCACAGTGTCCCCCTTAGGGACATTTTCTCCACCTGGTCTGTAGTGGGAGTGTAGAGCCTGGTGTGTACCAGAAATTACATGTCTTCCCCGTTTGTCAAGGAGGTGGGCAGGGAGCGGCCAGAGGTGAGGTCAGTTACTTAGGCAGGCTTCTGATCACCGGGGGCCACTAGTGCTGTGCAGAGGAGTTTATATTTGTATCCAGCAAGTGATGGTAACAGTGAGTAGTTTATTTCCATACTCAGTTGTCAGCCTTGGACCATGAAGATTGTGTCCTATAGGACTTTGGATCCCAGGGTTCAGCAGAGTTGATTGTATGTATTAGATACTCTAAAGATTTTTCAATGAGAGTATCTCACTTTAATTGCCAGTAGCGCTAAGTAAATGATGGCTTTTAATTTCTCTGCCTTGCACCTTACATAACAACCTCTTGCTAGAACTAGATATTTTTTTCTTTGACAGTTCGGATTAAATGCAAAGAGCTTGTCAAGAAGATTGCCATCTACAGAAATCGATTGGCTATCCAACTGCCAGAGAAAATCCTCATCTATGAGTTGTATTCAGAGGACTTATCAGACATGCATTACCGGGTAAAGGAGAAGATTATCAAGAAGTTTGAGTGCAACCTCCTGGTGGTGTGTGCCAATCACATCATCCTGTGCCAGGTGGGCAGCAGCATGTTGAAGGAGTTGGGCTGAATTCCATTTGTGCTCCCCCCCCAGTGATAGGGTGCCCACCTCATGGTTTTAAAACTGGTCACTAGAAAACAAGTCTGTTCCATCAAACTAAGTGGTGCTTATTGGCTTTCATTTTCCTGGCATCTGGATGAACCAGACTCTATCAGCAAGTCATGAGCCATAAACTGGAGAATGTTTTTTTGTTTTATTTTATTATTTTTTAAAAAATATTTTTCTTGAGACAGACAGGGTCTTGCTCTGTTGCCCAGGCTGGAATGCAGTGGCACAATTATGGCTCACTGCAGCTTTGACCTCCCAAGCTCAAGCGGTCTTCCTCCTGAGTAGCTGGCACCACAGGCACATGCCACCACACCCAACTAATTTTTTATTTTTAGTAGAGACGCGAGGCTGTACTTTGGGAGGCTAAGGCGGGAGGAATGCTTGAACCCAGGAGTTTGAGACCTGTCCAGCTTCCTAAAGTACTGGGATTATAGGTGTGAGCCACTGTGTCTAGCCAAGAATACCTTGTTCTATTGCAGAACATCTTGTCATACTGGGATTAGATATACTTTAATGACTTAAAACATAAATTGGTGTACAGAATGAAGATAGTTTTTATTGATAAGCATATACACATAAAATTTGTATCAACTCAGTAATTGTCAAGGAAGTTTTAATTCCTGAAAGATTTTTTTTCATAGAAAAATATTTCTCAAGATTCTTAGAGAGTGTCTAAGTCAATGCCAAGAGAAGTTTGGAAAGACTTTGAGAGAAGGCTAGCCCAGCATCTTGGAAGTAGAGGTGGATTTAGTTTTACATAGTTCTGTTGGAGGTGATAAAAGAGAAGAATTCCTTAGGAATCACTGTAGTGTAAAATACTATTAAAATCTCTCAAAAGCCTAGAACTGGGCTGGGTGCAGTGGCTCATGCCTGTAAATCCCAGCACTTTGGGAGGCCAAGGCAGGATGATTGCTTGAGGCTAGTAGTTCGAAAGCAGTCTAGAAAACAGAGACCCCATCTCCACCAAAAAAAAAAAAAAAAAAAAAAAATTATTTAATTAGCTGGGTGTGGTGGCGCTTGCCTGTAGTCCCAGCTACTTGGGAGGCTGAGGCAGGAGAATTGCTTTAGCCAGAAATTGGAGGCAGCAGTGAGCTATGATAGCGCCACTACACTCCAGCCTGGGTGACAGAGTGAGACTCTGTCTCAAAAACAAATAATAAATAAATAATCAAAGTTAGAACTCCAAGCGGTTTAGGGTTGCTACAAATTACAGGATAGATGTGGCAAGTATGTGTACTTTTGAGTGCTGCCTCTGGCCTAGGCTGCCTGGGTGGGGGTTTGCATTGAAGATCTGAGGCTGAATTGGGCTCCGTGGGGAAGCCTTGCATGGAGTCTTGGATTAACGATGCCAATCGTGGGGTCTACATTGGGTTAGATAGATGGATACTGAATGTGTAGGTATTTTCTCCCCTTAGGGACAGAAAGATCTCCTTGGGGAGGTCTGGGGGCACTTATTCTGTTGAATTTCCATGCAGAGCTGGGTTTGCTTCCTAGGAGAAACGGCTGCAGTGCCTGTCCTTCAGCGGAGTGAAGGAGCGGGAGTGGCAGATGGAGTCTCTCATTCGTTACATCAAGGTGATCGGTGGCCCTCCTGGAAGAGAAGGCCTCTTAGTGGGGCTGAAGAATGGACAGGTGAGTGCTCCCTCACGTCTCCTGTCAGGCTGATAATCTGCATGCACACGTGGGTGACCCGTCTAGCAATGACTCTGAGCTGGGTTCTCAGGGCAGGAAAAGGGCTTCTCTCCTCCATGGGTGAATTGTGGGGCAGCCTGAGTTCAGTTTTTTGAGGACAGCCTCAGGCCAAAGGTGCTGTGGCCCTCACACTCCTAGCAGGCCCACGTTTTGGCAGAGTTGAGCTATAACCTTTGGCTACATGTAGAGTGTATTAGTGGCTTAAGGTCTCCAGAAGGTGGGAGATTTGTTAGAGATGTTGCTTCTGTGGATTTCTAGAGGGAGGCAGAGATCGTTACCTAGGTCAGCTCCTGATTAGGGCAGCGAGTGGATTAAGGCAGTGCGTTCCAGCATGTGTCCTAAAGAATGCTGGGTCCTCAAGATACTGATAGATGTCATAAGCAAAATGGGCCCTTTGGCCAGTTAGATGTGGGATATCCAGGTTACACAAAATTCTGTGTGTGTGTATACATGTGTACACGTGTGTTCTTTGCTCAGCATAAGAAAAGTTCTAAGTAGGCTGCTACATGGAACTTTGAAAGTGACAATGTAGCTGCATTAGCCTGACAGCCAAGCTGTGCAGCAGATGGCTTATGGCTGAGGCTTGTCAGGTCTTTGCTGGGGATGGAAGTCACAGGGCATGAGAGCAGTGGGTGAAGTCAAGCAGCAATGCCAAGGGGAGGAAGGGCCGCTTATTTCTCAGGCAGCTCTCACTTCCAATGGGAGCATGGACTATGGGGTCAGGTGGGCCGGAGGTCGTGTTCTTACTTAGCTACTCACTGGCTTTGTCATCCTGGGCAGGTCACTTTACCTCTGTGAGGCTGGTTTTACATGAGGATAATACCACATATTTCATAGGGCTGTCAAAAACAGATATCATCAGGGTTGGGAGTTAAAGCCAATGTTAAAAACAAAACAAAACAAAAAAAACACCAGGGGTATTAAAACAGGCATGGTGGAGGGTACCTGTTTTCCCAGCTACTCAGGAGGCTGAGATAGGAGGATCACTTTGAGCCCAGGAGTTTGAGGCTGCAGTGTGATATGATTATACCTGTGAATAGCCACTGCGATCAGCCTGGGCAACATAGCAAGACCTTATCTCTAAAAAAAATTTTTTTTAAACCAGGGATATCAGTAAATGATAGCTATCATGATCACTATCATCATTATTATAATTTTCTACCACATGTCTTGTCAGTGTTCATAGTAGCTTTTTCCTGTGTTAGTTCGTGACTCAGATCTCTGCTAGGTGGCATCTCCTAAAGCTGCAGTTTGGGTAATGTCATCAACAAATCCCCAGTCCGAACAGACACTGAAGTGAGCTCGGCCTGTCTCAGGGCTGTCATTACTTCTGCAGCCTCTGATGAACCTCGCTTCTGGCCTCCTAAGGATAAGCCATTGCCCCCCACCCCCCTCTTTCTTTTGATGAGTCCTTTTCCCTGCACAGAGCTTCTGGTGAAGGTGGTGGGAGTTGTTCTTGCAGAGCACATGGGATTCCAACGGCCTGGCAGTGGGCCAGGATCTTGTTGCCATGGTGACTGACACTGTTTTCGCTGAAATTTTGCCAGATCCTGAAGATCTTCGTGGACAATCTCTTTGCTATCGTCCTGCTGAAGCAGGCCACAGCTGTGCGCTGCTTGGACATGAGTGCCTCCCGTAAGAAGCTGGCCGTGGTAGATGAAAATGACACTTGCCTGGTGTATGACATCGACACCAAGGAGCTGCTTTTTCAGGTGAAGTCCCTGAGGGGGCCCAGGGACATCATCCTTTGATTAGAGACTCTCCTCTAGCTTCCCAGTCCCTGCAGGAGGCTCTCCTGCTCTGGCCCAGGCAGGTCTCTGGGAGGGGCAGGGGCCAAGCACATGCACAGAGTCCCAGAGGCCCTGGGCCACAACCTGCTCCTCCCACACAGGCACAAGCCGCAGGGCCTGGACCGGCCTCTTTAACTTTGGTTTCCTTGCCAATGGAAACCGAAGGCTCTGAGCCAGCAGAGCCTTTCTTAAGCGTTTACCATGAACAAGAAATGGGGCAATGACTCTGAGAGGGGTGTGACGTTGGCACTCAGTGAATGGGGCGATGGATGCACTTCCTTTGCAGAAGTCTGTGTCTCACCTGCTGCAGGCCTGCCTGTGTCTATGCGCACCTACAGCGTGGGAAGGAAACAGGATGTTTTGTCATCTGAAAGGGGGAAGGGGATGGGCAAGCCTGGCCTTCTACTTAATTCACAAGAATGCTAGAAGAGCCAGCAGAATGCGAAGTGCTTGGATCTTTGGGGTTGTAGGCGTTGTTCAGTGGAGTCATCCAGCCCTGTGGCCTGAGGAAGTGTGTCACCAGAGAAGACAGCCCGGCAGCTCTGTGCCCCGGGCCTGGTTGGCTTTCTGCTGGGCTCGCGCCATTCTTTCTCTCTTTAGGTCTTTGTAGGTGGTCAGGACTGGTTTTCCAGAGTGAAGTTCCCCCCAAAGCTGGAGCCCCTCCTGACTGGTTTCCTCGGCCACTGCAGGGTTTCCTGATGTTATGGGCAGATTCAGTCCCCTTACCAGGCTCCTCCTTGTTCTCAGCAGCAGAATCGATGGGGGAGGGGTCTGGAGTGGGGAGCAGCCTCAGTCAATTAGAAGGAGTTACCTGGCCACCTCTAGCCCAGAGGTAACTCCATGTCAGTCTCAACTCACTCATGTCCTTGAGAGAGTAGAATGGTTTCGGGGAAAGAGAGGGCATAGCCTTCAAGCTGACCTGGGCTTGGGTCCTGCCTGCATCCCTTACTGTGTGATCTTAAGTTAGTGAGCCTCTCTGAGCCTTAATTACTTTTCTCTAAAATGAAATTAGTAATTGCCCCTTACAGAATTGCTACAGGAATACACTAGATACTACAGTGCCTAGCTCAGTGTTGAGCACAAAATGGGGCCTGAAATGTTACTTCCCTTCTCCCCAGCCTCACCTCCCACCTATAGGGGGCATAGCTGGCCCCAAATGTGAATCTTGTGTCTGAGCCTAGAATCATACAAGTGTGGAAGGGCGTCTGTGCTGCCCCATCCCCACTGCTGGCTCTATGGCAGGCTAGGGGAGGTGATTCTCAGCCCTGCCAGGAGACATCAGCATTCCCAGCTGTAACATTGCCTGCTGGCTTTTCCTCTTCTCCACTGCCCCTCCCTCTACACATAAAACAGCTATATTGATTTTTTCTCATTATAAAAAACAATCCATGCTGATTATAAAAGATTTAGTCATTATAAAAGATCCTAGGCAGAAAGGTATGAGCATATTTCAGGAGAATAATTTTTTTTCAAAAGTAATACTTGCTTACTCAAAAATTCCAACAACACGCAGGTGCATGGAGGGGCTTGCCTCTGTTCATTTCTCTTGCCTCTGTTCATTTCTTTGTGGTCCCCTTTCATCCTTTTCCCTCCATCCCACTGTAAGCAATTTAGTGGGATTCAGTCTTTAAGAGGGTATTGGGCTGAAATGTGTGAGCGCTGACCAAGCCCAGGGTGGTTCTCACAGGATCCCCACTGTCCCTGTTCCCCAGGAACCAAACGCCAACAGTGTAGCTTGGAACACCCAGTGTGAGGACATGCTCTGCTTCTCGGGAGGAGGCTACCTCAACATCAAAGCCAGCACCTTCCCTGTGCACCGGCAGAAGCTGCAGGGCTTTGTGGTCGGCTACAATGGCTCCAAGATCTTCTGCCTCCATGTCTTCTCCATTTCTGCCGTGGAGGTGCCGCAGGTAACTGGGGGTGCCTGTCCACTCTTAGCACTGGCAAGGCTGACAAGACCAGGGAAGCTGGGCCCTTTGCTGGTGCTTTGGGGAGAGAGTAGCAAGGAGAGAAGAATGGCAGCTGTGAGGTCGTGGGAGGCAGTCTGGGCCTGGAACCTGCCGCCCTGTCTCCACTCCTTGCAACCTGTGTGACTGGGGGCAAACAGCTCAACCTCCCTGAGTATCAGTTTCTTCCTTGTCCCCTTTCTGTAGGGATGGGAGGGGTATGCAGTGTTGTCAGCAGCGTGTGTTTTGCAGAGAGCCCAGCGTGGGGCCGAATGGAGTGAGCAGCAAAGCCGGGAGTCCGGCAGGGTGTGTGTGTGAGTACGTGTGTGATGGTGGTGATGTGTGTGTGAGAGAGAGGGGAGAGAGAGAATGAGTGGGTGGGGGGTGTGGGCTGAGGTCTGTGAGCCAATAAGGGAGCATGGGACTCTGCACAAGCTCTCTGAACCAGGAGGTGGCCAGAACAGAAATGGGGCACTGAAGGGTGGAGCCACAGAATGGGGGAGGGCAGAACCACAGACAGGCGCCTGAGATTGACCTCCCGAATGCAGGATGGTCTCCCCTCCACCTTCTGCACCCCAGGCAGATGGTGCTCACTGTAGAATTGCCATAAAACAGAGACGTGCATAGCGAGAAACTGTAGCCTTCAGCATCCCATCCTCAGGACAGAATCACTCTTAAACATGTTGAAATACATCTGCTTAGCGCTTTTCTACGTGTATATATAATATATGCATAATATACAATTAGGAGCATGTGGTTTTATAAGAACATTTTTAAACAAAAGTGGAATCACACTGCAAATACTTTTCATGACTTTTATGTGTATACGTATTGCTACCTATAGATGGAACCTCAGATTTACTGTATTCCCTGAGCCTGGCCTGTAAACAAGACTTCTCATCCCTTCCTTTATGGCTATCTTCTCATTTCACCTCACATTCGGTTATGGCAGCCCCATCACTGTCTATGAAGTGCTGGCTGTACACTAGTCATCTGGCCTTTTCACTCAACAATCTCCTAAAGCATCGTTCTGTGTCAGTAAATGGTAAATGTTCTTATTCTGCATGGCAAAATTTAGGGTAATTGTAGACTCACATAAATTGTAGGAAATAATACAGAGATCCCTTAAACCCTTTGCCTAGTTTCCCCCAACGGTAACAGTGTGCATAGCTCTAGAGTGATCTTCCCACCCATGTTGGCATGTGTAATCTCCCACCACAGTCATGGCACTGAACACTGCCACCACCACAAGGTCCCTGGTGTTGTGCTTTTTACAGCCAGCACCCCTCCCTCCTGCCTGGTCCCCACCTGCCTTGTATTTACAGCTGCATTTTATTGTGTCTTGTGGATGTTCCACAGCTTTCTTTACCAGTCCTACTGGACATGTTTGCTGCTTATAGCTTTTTTGTATTATTGTAAATAGCAGGCATCTTTCTAGCTAGGTCCTTGCACCTGTCCCAACTTGGCGCCTTGGCATAAATTCCTAGAAATGAAATTGCTGGGTCAAAGCACGTGTACCTTTGAAAGACTTTTAGGGAAATTTCCAGGTTTCCCTTCCGCTAGGCTCTGTCAGTCTGTTTTCCCCATACAACTCAGCTTCAGGCTAGAGCCCACTTCTTCTAAGTTGATGATACCCTCGAAACTCATGACTGCAAGACTTACTGGGGAAATGCCCATCATCCATGCCTGACACAGATCAGCTATTCAAGAAATGTTAGTGGAATTCAGATCTGAGGAAAAAGACCAGAAAGCAAGAGGAAGAAGGGAATGAGGTGGGTGGAAGTGGCAGCAGGACGAGGGGCACGAACAGCTTCTCCTGGACTGTGTCCTCGTCATCCTTGTCTGCCCCATTACAAACCCACGCACCACATCCACCAGGAACTCATCTCCCTCAATTGCCCCAAACTAGCTCTGCTTATTTTATTAAAAGGTTTTCTCCCAAGATTGCCATCCTGACCTCAAAAATAAATGCAGTTTGCTGCTCTCTGACTGTGGCCGGCCAAGAGGAGCCAGAGGGGCAGCCTGGGGCTTCCTCTGCCAGGACTTTAAGATTCAGCAGCAAAGTCTTGCTGACTGCACCAAGGCCATCCTGCTGACGCAGCGGGTCAGGACTGCCAAGGGTTAGGAAACACATTCTCAAGACAAAGGCTGTTCATCTGTCGCCTCTGCCTCCGGCCATCCTGTGGTTTTGGCCCAG
Source organism: Homo sapiens (assembly GCF_000001405.40). Taxonomy (NCBI): domain Eukaryota; kingdom Metazoa; phylum Chordata; class Mammalia; order Primates; family Hominidae; genus Homo; species Homo sapiens. Next base: position 129,485,916 of record NC_000003.12, read on the forward strand.
AGAGGAGGGAGAAAGCATCAGACCCAGTCTTGGAATTTTTGGTTGCCTTTCGAAATTTACATTGTCTTGTGCAAGAACTGGTTTGTCAGGGCTGCCAAGTAGGACAACGAGCCCTAGGAGGGCTTCTCAAGGCGGTGGTGACTTCATGTTTGAAATCCAACAGCAAGATAAAGTATAGCTCAGAGAGTATTTGTTCAGTGGGGTCTATTTTTAAAACTCCACTCAAATTGTGCCTCCCAAGTAAGTCCAAGTGTTAGCCATCCATCATATGCTCAGCTGTGATATGCCTGCCTGAGTGCCTGTCCCACTCACGGGGCAGTCAGCATGGCAAGCAGTTGGTGTGGTTCGGGGAAGGAGCACCAGCTTTCAGTCCTGACTCTGCCATCTCAAGCAGCTGTAACTAGAGCAACTCATTTCACTCTTTGGGGCCTCATTTCTTTTCTGTGAAATGGGGTTAATTATACCCATCTTTCAGGTTTCGTCAAGCCAAATTTCTATTATTATTTCTCCTTATTACTGACTCATAAAATAGCAAAAACCACAAAACACAACTAAATTGCAACAGGCTGTACTTACTGACGGACTTTAGAAAGGAAAGCTCATTGTGTGCTTTAAGAAAAGCTTTCAGGAGTTTGAGAAAGCTTCCAGGAGATGGTGAAACTTGATCTGAGCCCTGAGAGGTCTGGAAAGGAAGAGTGGAGCAGGGAAGCTTTTCAAACAAAGGGAAAGGTGGGGGTAGGAACAAGACTGGAGAGCCTGGGAGATGGTGAGGAGCTGGTGCTGAGAAAATACAGTGAAGGTAATGATCATGCCTGCATTTTGCCCAGTGCTTCATTATTTTTGGAGCACATCTCTCCTTTGCCCATGGTAGCCTGAGCTGGGCAGGACATCTAAACAGAAGTTAATGGATTTACCCAAAAAGTCACCAGCCTAGGATGTGGCTGAGCCTGGCCTGGGTTCTAGGTCACCTGCTCCGTAGCCTATGCCTGCTGCCCCGCTAAAGGGAGCATTTAATGTGCCAATGAGGAGAGATGGCATGGTGGAAAAGATAAGCACTTGGAAGCAGCCATGTTTTGCTCTGAGAGTAGACAGACTCAAAATAAAAAAAATTCCTTCAATTCTAAAGCTAAAAAATGGGACTGGAAATTTCAAAGACAGACAAAAGCCCCAAATGGAGAAAACAATACTTCAAGCTCCACATTTGGGAACCATTAGCACAGAGGTCCTGGCTGATTTCTCTTCCCTGCCCAGGAAGCCAGGAGAGATGCAGGCCACTGAAGCACACTGGCTGGCCTAAAACAAGGGCAAGGCCTTTCCTTGTTAAAGATGTCATGGCCCAACTCAAGACTCATTCTCAGGCCTGCACGCACATATGCACATATACACGCGTGCATACATGTGGCAGGAAGGGGCACAGAACCTGGAGTCCAGTCACCTCTGGCTATTGCCAGCTATTTGCTGGGACAGGTCATTTGTCCTCTCTGAGTCTCGGTCTCCTGGGCTGTAGCCAGGGAGAAATAATACCTACTGCACAGGACTGTGGGGACAGCCAAAAGCCTTTTATAAACCTAAGAAAGAGAAGTCGTTAGGAACTATTCATGGGCACTCACAGCAAGGCAACCCCATCTTGTAGGAGGGCATCTGTCCCCAGGGCAGGGATCAGGAGAGCTGTTTCCAGAGGCTTCCAGGGTAACTTGGAGCAAATCACTTACCTTTCTTGGACTCAGTCCCTGGAAGAAGAGGCCATTCCAGACCGCTTCCTCCCACGAACTCATTCATTGTGTCAGCAAACGTAGACTGGGGTTCTGCTGAGGGAGGCCGATACAACCCACCACTGCCCACGGCTGTGCACGGCTTTGCTGTGGGAACAGGCCTGTAACTGCGGCACAACCTGCGATCTGGACAAAGGGCAGAGGAAGCTGAGACTCTTTCCCCTGGGGTGGGGGCTTGAGGGGCTTGGGAGGACTCTGCAGAAGAGGTGACATTTCAACAGGGCCTTGAAAGCCAAATAGGTATTTTCCAGAGGCAGAGTGGGGAGGGGCAAAGGCATTCCAGGTGAGGGTGACATCCTATGGCGAGGCAGGCCTGTAGGTGGGAAGGAGGGGAGGATGGGCAGAGAGTTTGTGCTGTGGAGCACAGTAGCCCAGTCATGAGAGAGGTGCAGGATGGAGCACACAGGGTGGGCTGGGCAGGCTGGGCAGGGTGCTGATTGGCGGCTGCAGGGCTGCTCCCCAGGCATGGGTAATCATCCCACGCATCTGGAGGCAGGCTCTGTATGCATCTGGTTCTTTCCATGGCTCTGAAAACAGTCTTCTTTTTTTCCCTTGATGAAATCCTGCAGTCCGCTCCCATGTACCAGTACCTGGATAGGAAACTGTTCAAGGAAGCCTACCAGATTGCTTGCTTGGGTGTCACAGACACTGATTGGCGTGAACTGGCCATGGAAGCGCTAGAAGGTTTAGATTTTGAAACAGCAAAGAAGGTAAGCATCTAGCCAGCAGGAGCTGGAGTTTGGTCCTTGTGGGGTCCCTTAAGAAGGCAGATGGGGACCCAGGTGGCACGGAGAGGCCATAGACTGCAGCAGTCTCTGGAGTTAGGCTGACCTGGGCTTGTATCTTAGCCACTTCCTCACTGTGGGCCTGGGTAGGTGACACCCTTTCTAAGATTGCTTCTCTATAGACGTAGGATGATGACAGGCCCCATCCTCACAAAGCTGTGAGGATCAAATGGGAGGATGCCTGTAAAGCCTGACCCAGGAGCAGCATGTCAGATTCTGGCTGTCACTCTTATTAGCTGTTCTCTGTGGGAAGCACCTGACTAGTAGCCTGGCACATCACAGGCACTCCGTAAATGGCGGCTTTTATTATCGGTGTAGTCACTGGCCATGATGCTGCACACAATGCTGCTTTTCTTAGCATCTGCCAACTAAGGTGGGAGAGATGGTCAAGGTCTCTGATTCTGACAGCAATGTGGGCACTTCCCACGTACCTTCATGGCGGGATTCATGGACTTGATTCGTTGTGTCCTTTCCTGGCCTAGTCTATGAAAGCTAGAGAGATGGCTGAAAACATCTGACCCCTCTCTGCACATAAGGAAAAGCCCAGGTATGTTCCTGAGCTGTGTTTCCATCTAGAACCTCAGATGGAGGAAGGAATGGCTTCCAACCTCCACTCCCCTACCCCTTCCCTCTTTATCTCCCCACAGTCAATTAATGAGCTGCTCATTTTGTCCATATTCCCGGGCTGACATTGAAGGAGTGGCAAAGAGGGACGTGATGCCCGCCTTGGGTTAGATCAAGACTTGTAGGCATGAAGAGAGGAGACTGGACCAGACCAGGACTAAGAAGCCTGGCTGAGAACGAGCTGTGTCACATAAGGGGCTCTGGGACCTCAGGCCAGCCACTTTCCTTGGAGCCCCAGTCCTCCCAGTTCTGAAATGGGGGTGGTGAGAATGCCCGCTGCAGTCATGAGGCTTAACTGAGATGTTGTAAAGGGGAATTTAAATCAGGGATGGTTGTGCAGATGCTAGCCATTACTAAACAAGGGAAGTGATCGTTGTGTAACAATGATCTAGATTATATTTTTAGATGTCCTCAGTGTAGGAAAGTGGAGATGGAGGAGGCTGTAAGAATTCAGAGGAGGGGCCAGGCGCGGTGGCTCACGCCTGTAAATCCTAGCACTTTGGGAGGCCGAGGTGTGCGGATCACAAGGTCAGGAGATCGAGACCATCCTGGCTAACACGGTGAAACCCCGTCTCTACTAAAAATACAAAAAATTAGCCGGGCATGGTGGCAGGCGCCTGTAGTCCCAGCTACTCCGGAGGCTGAGGCAGGAGAATGGCGTGAACCTGGGAGGCGGAGCGTGCAGTGAGCCGAGATGGTGCCACTGCACTCCAGCCTGGGCCATAGAGCAAGACTCTGACTTAAAAAAAAAAAAAAAAAAGAATTCAGAGGAGGGAGGAGGCATCTCTATGGAGGGAGCTTCCCTCTCCTGCCCCACCCAGAAATGCCAGCAGGGAGGGAGACGACAAATCCCTAGAATAGAAAGGATTGTAAAAAGCCACAAGGTTTAATATGAGTGTTTACTGATATTTTTATAAATATATATATTTTTATATATTTGTTTAAATATTGAGACGGGGACTCACTGTGTTGCCCAGGCAGGTCTTGAACTCCTGGGCTCAAGCAGTCTTCTTGCCTCAGCCTCCCAAAGTGCTGGGATTACAGGTATAAACCACCACACCCAGCCAGATTTACTATAGTTGAAAAGTAAGTGTATGTGGTATATATCTATTGTGTACAACATGCTGTTTTGAAAAAGCCACATGATATTGAAGATAGGCTGGATGTTACTATTTCATCTAAATCCCGAGTACCCCACCTCTTTACTCTGTGCCAGGCACTCAGGCTCACCAGCTTGGATATAGTGGTTCCTAGAGATGGACAGCCATCCCCACTAGATGGCAGAGAAGAGCTGCTGAGCTCCCGCCAGACCCTGAGCAGAGCTGCAGGTTCCTCCCTATTCCCAGGCTTCCCTCTGCTGAGCTCATTCAGGGGCCTTGTGACTCTGACCAGGCACCCTGACGCTGCAAAATGTGTCAGGTTGAAGGAACTCGGAAACAGATTTATTAATGGGCAAATCCTAGACACTAGCACAGCTGAGCTACAGCTAGAAAGACCCTTGAGAGGGTGTCAGTAGCAGGCCCCTTTCCACAAAGAAGATGGTTGGAGCCCAGAAGCAGAGAAGTAGGCTCAGAGCGAGGACTCAGACCTCGAATGCTCCTTTCCCTCTTGGCCACTGTGCTGGGCTTTGCAGGGTTGCCCTCTCAAGGCGCTTTAAGGAAACCCAGATCTAGAGGGTGATGTGTAAGACCTACAGCTTGGGACACAGGTAGTCTTAGCCCTGTGTTCCTTGGCCCATGTGATGCCCGCATTGCCCTTTTCTACGAATTCCTCTTCACAAACACTTGTTTGCCAGGTTCTGACTCTGATGCCTCCCTTAACGCTGCCTCCCACCCCTGCTCATGCTCAGACCATTCATCCGTGTTCTCCAGGCATGTGGTTCGTAGTTGGAGAGCTCTTAGCTCTGGGAGGTGTCATGATCTGTTTAATTGACCAGCTTTCCCTGTTAGAATGTGGACCTCTGAATTGTGGAGGGGGACAGGGGCCGAGACATGTTTCTCCCTGGGTCCTCAGTCTCTTGACAGGAAGCCTGGTCCTGTGGGATGAAAAGATAAAGTTGCATTGTGGTCACCTGCAAGGCAGGCCGGGGACTTGCTCATCTCCCGAGGTCTTTTCAGGAGGGAGGATGCCATGCTGCTGAGCAGAGGCTGCAAGTGGTCAGGATTGCTCTGCGTGTTCAGTTCAAAGGGCTCTGGAGCTGCTGCCTCCTCTAGGCACAGGTCAGCCCATTTTGAATGGGGCAATAAATGGTGACAGCAAAGCCACCTGAAAGCAGCCTGACCTGGTGGCTTGTGCTCCTCCAAACCCTGGGCAGAATCTGAAAGCAGCAAAACTAGCTTAGCTAACACCAGTCTGCTTGTTCCTCAGAAACTTCTAGAGGTCCATGAGTTAAAGTCTCTGGCTTTACTGTGAGTTCAAGGCAAGGGCTGCAATTTTAGGGTTTACATAAAGAGTTTGCCTTCCACAGACTTGGTGGGATTCATTCCCTACCCCTCCACCTTCTTCCAGAATCTGTCTTTATACCCTCTCAGCTTTCCCCTCCTCTGCTCCCTCTGTGGTACCAGGGGCTCTGGGTCCCCTGTGTCTGTGGCACCACTGGGTAGGCATAGCTGTCCCCTGCATTCTACCCATGTTGCCAAGATGTATAGGCAGTCTCTCATCAGTCCATGCATCTCATCCTCTCCTGCTGTGATGCTGCGTGACCCCCCAGAGGGTCAGACCGGCTTGTTCTTCTTTGGGTCTAGAGTCTCCCAAGGAGGCACCGCCACAGACTGTGGCATCACGGTTTTGTTTTACCTGATCTCAAAATGACTGATGCAACTGGGATGTCTTTGCTGTTCTTTACATGGTCCAATCCCATGGATAAAGCCATGCCTCGCTGGGTGGTATAACCTCCTGCACGCACGATGATTAATCTGTGCTTGCTCCCTTCCTCTCCTCTGTGGCTCACTGTCTAGATAGAGCTTGACTTCCCACCCCTAGCCAATCACCCACTTTTGAAGCCAAGAAGACAGCTTATTTTATTCTTTATTTCTTCGCCACAGGCCTTCATCAGAGTACAAGACCTCCGATATTTAGAGCTCATCAGCAGCATTGAGGTAAAAGATGAAGCATTTTTCCTTCTCAAGAAGGCATACTTGGGGTTCCTGTTTTAGGGGCAGCCCTTCTAACAGGCAAGAGCCTTGAGGACATGGGAACAGAGCTCACTGGCGTCTGGGCATCTGGGCCACAGCCTTGCTCCGGGGGCAGAGTGGCCACACTGGGGGAGACAACAGCAGGTAGTGTGAGCTGTTGTGTGATAGCTGGGTGAGGCACATGGGTTCCGGATCTCTCCAGGGTTGGGTTTCTAGTCTGTGAAAAGGGATTGGACCTACCTCACAGGCTGCTGTGAGGATTCAGTAGGTTCTCAGGAACTGGTTTGCATCCTCCTGGTGGCGGATAGCTGGTCACCATCCTCTCAGACTCCAGTAATCTGATAGTGTTGGAGGAGTTTCCCAAATGCACATGAGCTGAGCTCCATTCCCCAGAAATGGACCTGGGGAGCAAGGCCCACAGTCTGAACTGAGCGCCCCAGAGTTCTGGAGCAACCCCTAGCCCTACTGTTTCTGGCTGAGAATATTGACCTTGTCATCCAAACCCAATAGGCCTGCAGTGTGCTAAGGAAGCTGGTTGTAGGTATGCCATTTGCTGGGTGGTGGTCAACACTATGCTTTTTTTTTCTTTTTTTTTTTTTTTTTTCTGAAACAAGGTCTCACTCTGTTCCCCAGGCTCAAGCGCAGTGGCACGATCACAGCTTACTGCAGCATAGACCTCCCAGGCTCAAATGATCCTCCCACCTAGCCTCCCAAGTAGCTGGGACCACATGCATGTGCCACCCCGCCTGATTAATTTTTTGTATATTTTTTAGAGCAGGGTTTTCCCATGTTGCCCAGGCTGGTTTCAAATTCGTGGGCTCAAGCTATTAGCCCACCTTAGCCTCCCAAAGTGCTAGCATTATAGACTTGAGCTACCATGCCCGGCCCTTAGACACTATTCTTAATTTCTGTGTATCTCAGTGCTGTCTGGCTGTCTGTTAAAAGGCATATACATTTTTTCTCCTGAACATATTTATTGTGAAGGTATGGGAATGTGAGATACATTTGAATTCCCAGTTGGAAACAGTGAGGAAATAGCAAATGTCTTGTCCCTCTCATTCATTTCCCCATAATAAACACCTGTCATGGGCCAGCCCTTGTGCCGAGCTCAGTGGGCACAGAGCTGAGGAGGAGAGAGGCTGACAGGAGCTCACAGCCTGCTAAGCCTCATAACGTAATCTGCTCTGTGCCACATGCGTGATTTATGTGAATGCTGTTCTAGATCCTCACATTAACTGAATGAGGCAGGTACTGTTGCTCTCCCTATTCCATGCAGGAGGAAATTAAGGCTCAGCAAGACGATGCCACATCCCCATGGGTCCATAGCCAAAAACTTGGTGGAATTCAAGCCCAGTCTATTTCCTAAGCTCATGCTCTCTCGGCCACATACCCTCCCTACCCGCGTGTTGTAAGGGGCATCTGTATATTCTGGGGTTTACCTACCCGCGTGGTAAAGGGCTTGTTCGGAGCTATTGCTCAAAATGCCCAGTGCTGCTGACTTTCACTTGTAAATCCACTGGCCTGGATCTGGGGGTCTTCACCTGAAGCCAAGGAGCATAATTTTCCTCTCTACAAAAGTAACTGCTGTGGGGTCCAACTATTACTTGTCACATCTTACTGGGGTCAAAATGTAGTCCTCTCCTCGTATGCTATGAGCTGGGAAGTGCGTTAAAGTAAACTCCTAAGATTGTCTCTTGAAAAAAAGTAAAGTGCCTTTGAGTGTGCTCTATATCGACTGCCTGCAGACTTATTTGCACACATCTGGGTGCTCAGCATAATTCCAGAGAACTGCAGATCCTTAGTGGGTGCCTTTTGGATAGGGGAGATGTTCTTGTCCTGCTGACGGGGGGAAAGAACCTGCCCATGTTGACATGCACCTGCTGAGTGCCATAGATCGTTTTTATTGGTCATGGTGATATCCTGGGGCCTAGAATGGATATGGCCTGAATTTCATGTCTAGTAAAACCTTTTTTGTTTGTTTGTTTGTTTTTTTTTTGCAGAGATAGAGTCTGGCTATATTGACCAGGCTGGCCTACAACTCCTGGGCTCAAGTGATCCTCCTCTTTTGACCTCCCAAAGTGTAGGGATCACAGGTGTAAGCCACCATGTCCAGCCAAAATCAATCTTTTATCTCACGGCAAGATTTCAATTCATTTCCAACTATTAGGAGTTAGTTTGTTTGATGAGCCTGAGCTGTGTGCAGGTTTTTAGAATGATAATTTCTGTCAGTATGGAAGCATGTTGCCTCCAGCTGTTAAAACTTTCACCAGCTTGTCTAAGAGTTTGATTCAATGTCTTATCGTCCTCCAATATGCTGCTCTTTCTAGAAAACAAGCAAAAGGAAACTGCTAGGGCTCAGGGTTTGGGTGCTACTGAGTGTTTACAAATACTCGAGCTGTAGACAAGCGAATGTTCCCTGACACAGAAGGAAGAAGCTTTATCCTAGCTGTGCTAAGTGTGTGTGTGTGTGTGTGTGTGTTGTTGGGGACATCACTTGCTTCAAAAGACTACATTGTGTGATACAAGGAATATCTGGAGTCAGACAGAACTGCGTCCAAATTCCAGCTCTGTCTGACCCTGACCTGTTCCTCTTCTTGAGTCTCAGCGTCCTTCACTCTAACACTTGGGTAGTGAGACCTACCCTGAGGGTCACTGAGAGGAATAAAGGGGCCATGTGTGTATAAAGTATATACCCAGAACCTAGTGGATGTTCAGCATGCGGGATTTCTTACCTTCTCTTTAGAAGTAGGGATATCGTAAGACTTGTCATCCTATTTTATTGGTCTCCCTCTTGGGCAGAAACCCTAAACATTCTCCTGCTCTGTCATCCCCATGAGCCACAACTCTGCCAAACGGGGCCTGCGGATTTGGGAGATCTTGGGAGCTTAGGGGTCATGGATGAGTCAGAGCACACACTATTCAAACTATTCCGTCATAGCCTTGGAATACACAGGAAAGCAACCCTGAGGAATTTCCATTAAACAAACAAAGGTTTGCATCTTTTTTTGATCTTTGCTTGTCTGGTAAAAGCCTGCTTTTGTTGTCAAGCCTTCCCAGCGGGAACCTAGGGGAGAGAGACAACAGCCAGGAGCCAAGCCCAGGTTCCAGTAGGAAGGCCCAGGGGCCTCACTTGAAATAGCCACATCTAACCTTTGTAAAGGCTGCTTCCTGCCCATGGCTGCAGAGGCCATTTCCTTTGCTTCTAATTTTTCCAGGAGAGGAAGAAGCGGGGAGAGACCAACAATGACCTGTTTCTGGCAGATGTGTTTTCCTACCAGGGGAAGTTCCATGAGGCCGCCAAACTGTACAAGAGGAGTGGGCACGAGAACCTCGCGCTTGAAATGTACACCGACCTCTGCATGTTTGAGTATGCCAAGGTAACCTACCCTGTCCCAGGCCCAAGCTCCAGCTTGGAGCCCACTGGTATTCTCACGTGCGGTGTCCAAGTTATTTTCCCCAAGAGTGCTGCGGACAAAAACTAGCAATGGTCTCAGAAAGGATGTGGGGAAACTGGTAAACAAAGGACCCATCTACAGCCACTGGTTGAAACTCACCTAAAACTGACCTTTAAGGCTGACACCAAGGGGGCAGACTATGGCAGTTCAGACCTTCATCAGTGACAGGGCTGGATGGCTGTGGGTCTACACCAGCACAATCCCTTCATTGAGTTGAGGGCTCAGGGCTTCAGGGCTGTCCCCCACAAATCCTCTCAATCCTTGTCAGGAGCCGCCAAGAATCGGTGTCTTCAGGCAGGAGCCGGTCCTGCCGATCATGCAGGACGACATGGTGCCTGCCAGCCAAGTTTCCCATAGCACCTGCTGATTGTCCTGGACTTCTCACTGGGCTTCTGGGAAGTCAGGCAGAGCCTCCGCCCTCCCATGTTAGCGCAGCATGCCTCACGCCTGCCGGCTGCAGAGTGGCTACCATGTGGTTGCAGTGGGTGATGGCAGAGATTCCCTTTTGCATTGGGACGGCCCCCATGAACCTTACTCCCCAGCAGAGCTGGGCCTTTTAAGGCAGGTGTAGGAGAGGAGCTTCCTGGACCAGGCTCCTGATGGCTTCTGTGGGAAGGAGTTGCACTAAGGAGCCCAGAGCAGTCAAGACATTTGCAGTTCAGTCTAAGCAAGGTTCAAAGAGGCTTCGGTACACTGGGCAATGAGGGTCTTCCTTCCATCAAGGGGCTTTGTTAACCTGCCTTTTCTGGAAGTGTCAAAAGTGGCTCTCAGTATGTTATGAAGTGACTCATCAGCCATAACCTATTGGTGGGCTACTAATGGTAGTTCTCCAGCTCACAAGTTCAAGATGGAAAATCTTCCCCACTTTTTTCTGCTTTTCTATTCCTGAAGATGGCTGTGCTCTTCCACCACCTGTTCGACCCTGGGGCTGAAGGTGTGTTTGGTGGCCTGTGATGTTGCCCAGGACCTATTGTTCATCAGGACTTGGACGAGCTCCTGGGCCCCAGCCTGTCTTTTCACCTTAGTGATTTCTTCACTCCGTACCTGAGACCCAGGGTGTTCAGGCTCCCTCTACTTTTTCCTCGTCACCTTTCCTACCCTCCCTCAGGCCCCACCAAAGACACCTAGAAGATTTCATAACACATTCATACTGAGATCACCAGAGTCAGTGCATCTCTGCTTCCGGGGATAACAAAATTTTAACTCAGGATGAACCCTTAAGGGATCAAGACCCTAGAGGTAGAATTTAGGGTTGGGAACCCCTGAGGCCTCCTCAAGGAGGCAGCTGTGCTGCAGTAGAAAATGCCTGACCAGGCTGGGCATGGTGGCTCAAACCTGTAATACTAGCACTTTGGGAGGCTGAAGTGGGTGGATTGCTTGAGCTCAGGAGGTCGAGACCAGCCTGGGCAATATGGTGAAACCCTCTCTCTACCAAAAATGCAAAAAATTAGCTGGTGCCTGTAGTCCCAGCTACTGGGAGGCTAAGGTGGAAAGATTGCTTGAGCCCCAGAGGTGGAAGTTGCAGTGAGCCAAGATCACGCCACTGCATTCCAGCCTGGGTGACAGAGCAAGACCCATGTCAAAAAAAAATAATAAAATGCCTGGCCTTGGTGCCCCAGAGCTGGTGTGAGTGCAGTTTCTTTCTGTGGGATGACCTGGGGAAAGGCTCTTCGGTTTGCCAAACCTCCCTTCCCTTCTCAGATGGTAATAGCGACAGCTCAGTTTAGTCATGAGATTTGCACAGAATAATGTATAGGAAAGCGCATTAGAAATGCCAACCTGTAGAAAGATTAGGAAGATGAGAGGGGCCACACGTGACCACAGAGTGGATTTTCATACCTCTCTCCCTGGCTGGCCCCACTCCTGCCCCTGCTCTGAGGCCCCTCCTTACACTGTGGTGGACTTCGTGTGCCCACAGCCTCCCACCAGAACTGCAGCCCATTTACACACTCCATTTGCTCCGTCTCTCTATGAAGGTAAATACTCTGGGACTTGTTTTTGGTTTTAGTTTTTGATCACTATTCCAAGGAGGTTGGTTCCTTTTCAATCCCCCCTGCCCCCACCTGGTAGTCTGAATTTGAGAAATATGTACCTACACATTATGTGGGGGGTGGGGGAGATCTAGTCCTGATTAACGTGGCATATTTTTGTTTACTTGAAAATTGCTTCCCAAGATTCAATCTGGTTTTCAGAAAATTTTAAAATTACATTCCCACGTACAAATAAATTGTATGCTTTCTGGATAAGTGACATGTTTATATGGTGATAAAGGGAATTATAATGCTCTTAACTCTTATGTAGTATGTTCTTATCAAAATCACCAAGCATGAGAACACTGTTTAGTCTCATTCATCACTCAGCACAGCCTCTTTCTGTCCACTTCAGGGCCAAGTCTTTGCCATGGCCCCAGATAATGTGTAACTTAGCTTCAGGAAAGCAAAAAGCCTTTGAATTTCCAGTTTGCTGAGCCTTGAAGGAAGCTTTTAGACCCAGCTTCAATGAAGTCACAGCTCCCTGAGTGACCAGCTGGCCTAGGCTTATGGCTCCCTCTCAGCCTCTCACCCTTGCCGTGGTCACCCCTGGTCCCCTGAGCACTCACTGAAGTCCCTTTGAAGGACATTTCTAGTCTCCTAAGATGCCTGTTTTCCTCCAGCTGCCACCCTCATTTCACCAGCCAGGTAGGCAGGGTTTCCAGCTTCGTGCTGGCATAGAGAATCCGCGCCATAGCAGCTGCCAGAAGGAAAGGTGTGTCTGTAAAGGCCCAAACTAGGCGGGGACAGCGGCTGCTTTCCAAGCCCCTTCCCTTTGTCAGCTCCAGGGAGAACCAAAGGCCAGCCAGGGGGCCTGTCTTCTATTGGGTCCCAGCATCAGGGTATACAATGCGCTTTCCTCCCCTTCTTAAAATGTATCATATATTAGGCCGACCTAATACTCTGAAAGCACATTTACCCTGAAAGCAAATGAGGGAAAAAAGCGAGCTAATTGTTCAAGTGGATTTTTAGCATACATTGACTGTACTTTTCTGACACATGAGTGTTAATCATGGGGAAAGGAGTGCTTTTTTTGTTCTCAGTGAGGCTGACACAAAGTACTCTCCACAGGGTACATTATTCCTGAGACAAACCACTTCTTACCAGTAACATAGACCTGGGCTGTAAGTGCTCCCAGTTTCCCTTTTTGAAAAGCTCCACCTTTAAAAGCTGCCTCAATTCTGGCAAACTCCCACGTGTGTATTTTGGGTAACTACTCTGAAAAGAGGTGGTGTTCTGAGGCTGTTTCTCACACATTGTAGGGCCAGCCCAGAGAAGCTGGGCATACCACTTCAGAGGTATGCTGAGGCCGAAGGAACACAGGCCCTAGGCCTGATCTCTGAGCCTCCAGGACCACAGCCATCTCTTCCTTCTCAGGTCCTCTCCTGAGCACCTTCCCTGCCTCAGATTCCCCCATGGCCTCCTGCTGTCCCACTGTCGGATCAGGTTCTCACCCCTGCAGACCTGACCTCAGCACAGGATCCCTAACCATTCAGCTGAGAAGCAACTAACCAGAGAGATGTTTGCTTGTTATCTGTTCCAGGAAAGTAACTGGGGCAAAGACAATGTGATGATTCTCTAGTTCAGGGCACAGAATGTTTGCTGGTGACTCAGAGAGGGCATGGAGGGCACGGAGGGCCGGCAAACACTGTAAGTCATTTTGTTTGTGTAAGTTTAGGGGAACCCATGCTCAGCCTCACTCTGAAGCATGTGGTATCACCCATATGATCTGAATAAGATGACAGGTCTCGATATGTGGAATTGTGCACCAGGTTGTCTCATTGCTGTTTAGGAACAGTCCTGTATTGACCAAACTATGTGAGAGAGAGACAGCCTGATCATGAACCCCCGACCCTGCAGACTTCATGTGCAGTGCCCCAAATAGTCTAGAAAGTGTTGTTTAGCCGATGAACAAATGCCCATTTGTGAGACGGGAAGGAAGCACTGGGGGCCAGCGTCCCTGATGCTGTCCCAGGATCCCCCAGGAACACCTGCAGGGCAGCCTGAGATCACTCTTCCCGAGACCTGGGACTCCCCCAACTCAGCCCCTCAGGGCCGGGCCCTGCCTACCTCCTGGTTGCCTGCTTCAGCCATGTGGAGCCCGCCCTTGCTGCTAGAAAAGCCTGATGTAACGCTGGCACAGGAAGTTCTGATCCAGAGTGTTTTTGTTTGTTGTGCTTCCTCAGGATTTCCTTGGATCTGGAGACCCCAAAGAAACAAAGATGCTAATCACCAAACAGGCTGACTGGGCCAGAAATATCAAGGAGCCCAAAGCCGCCGTGGAGATGTACATCTCAGCAGGAGAGCACGTCAAGGCCATCGAGATCTGTGGTGACCATGGCTGGGTTGACATGTAGGTTTTGGTCCCTGCCCCGAGAAGCATTTGGCAGCATGTCATCACATGTCACCTCTTGACTGACAAGGGAACCAATAGTGCTTTTCTAATTATCTAAAGCTAATGTGATAGTGGCTAGGTTCTTCAGGAGACACAGAGATTGCACAAGGCAGTGGCTGCCTTCCAGGAGCTTGTGGAGTCACTAGGGGAAGGGATGGTGGGGACCAGGGAAGAGGAGACACCGGGACATCACAGCTGCCATTTGCTGAGCGCTCACTACAACCCAGACGCTGTGATAACCTTCCAGGCATTAGGTTTTCCACCTATGCCATCAGGGCTGGTGTCTCCTCGCCCACCTTGCAGATGATGAAACAGAAGCTAAAGGGACAAGTTATTCCCAAAGTCCAGATAGCTGGAAAGTTGTAGAGCTGAGCTTTAGCCTCTGATCTGCTGGATGTCGATGCCAACTACGCGTGTAATGGTAGGAACAAAAACAAAACAAGTTCCAAATCCATCAGGGAAGAATTCTTATGGGAGGAACCATGGATATCTTCTCTTAGGAGACACTCTTTCCATGAAGGGACCTTAAAGAATTCCAAGAGGTAAATAGAGATGGCGGGAAAGGATATGCAGGCAGGAAGTACAGCAGAAACACAGCGAGTTGGCTCTGGTTGGAATAAAAGACGTGTGGGAATGGGAGGGTGAAGGACATGGGCTGTGGGTTGGGGGAAGTGGGCTGGCCACACTGGAAGGGCCTCCGATGCCAAACGGAGGTGCTTAGATTTGCCAATAGTGAGTGACCACCTACAGTCAGACACCCCCTCAGGCAGGCAGGTAGAATGGAGACCAGATAACTGGCTAGTGCAGTAGAGCAGGAGGGAACTTGGTAGCTGAGGGCATGAGAGAGAAGTAGCAGTGTTAGAACCAAGTGGCCCATCCCAGGGTGTTGGGGCAGTGGTGAGTGTCAGGCTGGCTTTGCTCTGTGGCTGCTGGTGGGTTACACCATTCGTCAAGGTGGACAACAGGGAGAGGAGGGGGTTGGGGTGGGGCAGCACTGAGACAGGATGGATTCAGCCTTGGGACTCAGCACACCGGACCTTGAGGGGGAAGGCTTTGTCCTCCCAGTCAGTGAGCTTCAGGCTCAAGCATGTGCACACACACGTGCACATGCTGCTGCGGTAGGCAAAGGACACGATGGGACAAGCTCCTGAGGGTGGCTCAGGCTGGGTCCTAAAGGCTGTTGATTCTTCTGGAAACAACGTTGTGGTCTACAGGTAGCAGTGGCCCAGCCAGGATTTGGGGATATGGAAGAGGCTGGTTAATGATTAAATTGTTTCCTTGGGTGCTGCCATATATTAATAATTGGTGTGTGGGCCCCTCACAAAGGGACCTTGATGGATGTCCTACCACCCCATCTTTTTCTTGTCCGATAGTAATTTTTTTAAAGACAGAGGCACAGATTTTGTTCCCCACATTATTCTTTAAATGAAGGGGTTCATATAGAAGAGAGCCAGGCAGATTTAGGGTGCTCTGTTCTCTCTTCTGGTTTTTCTTGTCACTTTCATTTGTAAGTGCTATAGTATCAGGTTACCCTGAGGGTACTTGAGTAATTCAAGAAACACATTAAGCATGTTCTGCTTGCTTTCCAGATGTGGCTATAAAAGGTGTCTTTCCTCCAGGGACGTTGGGTGTGATGGGTGGGAAGGTTTCTAAGGCTGTAAGGGCTGTCTATGCCACCTTTCCCTAAAAACGTGTCCTTTTTCTGCTGAGCAGTGTTATTTTTAGATGCCATTATTATTCTAAGTGTAGACTGACAGGCCTCCGTGCCTTGCCTGTCTCCAGACAGGGATTCGTTACAGCTGCTTCTCCTTCCTTTCTCACCAAGACTAGCCTGGGTAGAACCCTTTCTCCTGGGAGAGTTAGTTTGACTCCAAATTCCAGCCTGACCAGAGAGAACAAGCGCATTCTATCCAGGCCTCATGTCCCCATGAGTGATGGGAGGGCTGCTCACCATGGGGAAGCAGTGGTGAGCCAGTGGGTCCCTGCAGCTCCTCCCTCTTTGGTCAGCACGTTGGCCAGGAGGACAGGGAAGACTTCCTGCAGGCCTTTGTCCAGAGCTCAGAGCAGGCCCCACACTCACCTCTTCCTTTAGAGGGCAGTCATTGAGGTATTCTTATGCCTTGGCATCCACTTTTCCGTGAGAATTCCTGCACCCGTGGTGGAAAGAGTGCTGGGCCCAGTCTTGGGCTGGGTGCTTCACCTTCCCCACAGACTTTATTCTTCTCATCTGAGAGATGGAAATAATCATGCCCACCTCTTAGGGTGGTGAAGATTCTGATTTCACGCATGGGAAAGCTCATGGCGTCATCTGGGTACCTGGTAGGGGATTAGGAGATAATTGTTTCTATACCCTGCTGGATAGCTCAGTGACTTCCGAGAAAGACACACAAGGTGGCTGACAGGATCCTGTAAAGGCCACCTCTCCCAGATCCTGGTGATGTTTCTGGAGTGTGTATTCATGCATTTAATAACTACCCACTGAGCAACTCCCATGGGCCATGGCATAGTATCAACACTGGGGACCACAGAATGAATGGACATACGGCTTGCCGTTGACAAGACCCAGAGCCCACCCTCCTACCTGCCCCTTCCCTCTCCAGGTTGATCGACATCGCCCGCAAACTGGACAAGGCTGAGCGCGAGCCCCTGCTGCTGTGCGCTACCTACCTCAAGAAGCTGGACAGCCCTGGCTATGCTGCTGAGACCTACCTGAAGATGGGTGACCTCAAGTCCCTGGTGCAGCTGCACGTGGAGACCCAGCGCTGGGATGAGGTGAGGGGAAAGCAGGCCTCATGGGCTGGGGCCCCACCTGAGCCCTGGGACACAGGCGGGTGGGTACAGGGGCCCTTTGGGGTTCAGATGGAGAGAAGCTGCCCTCGTGATGGAAGGAACATTGGGCTGGCAGTCAGGTAACTTAACCTCGAATTCTCTGAGCCACAGAATCGTGGAGGGCCTTTCCACTTGTCCCTTCATTCAGTCATTGAGAAAATCGTTACTGACAGCCAGCTCTGCCAGGGTGGTGACAGGCACCGGGGATGTTAGTGTGAACACGACAGCTCCAGTGCCTGCTGTTGGGCTGAGCTGCCTCTGACCAGCACCACAGGCTCAGACACATGGCTGATGTGGAGATGCACCTGCGTGACATTTAAAACCTGCTGGGTAGCATTTTGGCAGAAAGCACCATCTGTGCTTTCCAGATCCAGACTGTGAGAGCCATTTCAGGGGCCAGTTTTTTCCCTCCCTTCTCTGCCCCCACCCCACAACCACTACTTCTCTCTGGTGTCAGGGGCTGTAAAGAATTAGCCAGGTCAGCGAGAAAGGTGGCCAGCCTCAGGCTGGCAGAAGCAGCTGATGCTGCCCCTTCTATGGCTCAACCCCCACCCTCCAGCTCACTGGCTCCCTGTTCCCTGCAGAGAAATCCATCCCCGAGAGGATTAGGAGCTGTGCCAAGATCCTCCCCCGACTCACCCACCCACCCATCATGGTCCATTTTAGAGTGAAAGCAAAGCCTTCACTGAGAGGAGCCGTCTGACTGTTGTCTGCTCTCTGAACAGCTCCATTGGTGAGGTGATGAGGTCAGTCATGAGAAAAGGTGGGGCTAGGGACAGAGGCAATGGTGGCTTCTCAAGAGAAATTTATTAGATTTCCCAAGCAGCATAGATTAGAGCATCTTAGAATGACTCAGACCTCGCTGTGCATCAGGCAGACTTTCTCACCATGGCTCATGTCCGGTTCTCCTGGCCTGACAGGTGGTTCTGGGGCTTAGGTGAGAAGCAGTCAGTGGGTCCATACAGCACGAAGCCCACAGTCATCTTTGACAACTGATAAGAAGTGGTGATGATGATAATGTCAATTCTGTTTCCTTAGGTGTCGCCCGCAATTAAAAGAAATCTGTTTGCAGCACTACAGGAGCCCACGCAAACCCTCAAAATAAAATGTTTCCGATTCTGTGCCGCTTCTGTGGTCCAGAAACAGACTGTGTTGTTACTGAATCCAGTCGCTTGCATATTGCTGTTAATTGCCTTTTGTTTTCGAAGAGCTGATTTGTTTTTGCATTTCTGTGGGTAGTTTTTTGGGGGAGGCACTCTCCCCCTCTGAGTTGTCAGGCTGGCAAAATATGATGTCCCTAATGGATTCAGCCAAGTACAGTGTTTTCATGGGGGCTGCAGGGGCAGCTTTATTAAGACTTCATTTGCTCCTTCCCCCAGGCCTTTGCTTTGGGTGAGAAGCATCCTGAGTTTAAGGATGACATCTACATGCCGTATGCTCAGTGGCTAGCAGAGAACGATCGCTTTGAGGAAGCCCAGAAAGGTAGGCAACACAGACTGTCACCTTCTAGAAGGAGCAGGAGAAGTTACTGCCAAGACATACATTTCAGGAAGGCTACCAAGCCCTTCCCATCTGTAGATCCCAAGATAGATGACTTCATCCTGGGGATGTGATTGTTTGGTGGTGAAAGACTGTGGAGCATGGAAAGACCATTGGCCTTGGAGTCACACCCTCCTGGGCCACACTCACTTGCCACAGGCCCTTAAGAGGTGCTGCCTCCTCTCCAAGCCTCTGTGGTTACTGAGCAAAGTGCTGTGCACTGCAGTGTATCTTCCCGTTTAATCCTCGCAACAGCCCTATGGTATAGCTACCATCATTATGATTCCCATTTTGCAGATGAGAAAACTGAAGGGTAAAGAGGTGAAGAAATTTGCCTGAAGTTTCATAGCTAGGAAGTGGCAGGGAGGTAATGTGAGCCAGGGTACCATGAGGACAATAAGGGAGGATTGCCACACAGTGTGAGGCATGGTCTCTACTGAGAATAGAAACTCAGCTTCTATTTCTGGCTCAGATAAACGGGTGACTTCTGCTCCTCAAGAATTCTGTTGGTAAAATGGGCTGCACACAGCGTACAACAGCATCTGAAATAGGAGTTAAAGCAAGTATAGAACTTTCGCTGATGTTATTAATCATATTTTTTAAAGTTGACTTCCCTCTCTGTGTCAGGCCCTGGCTGAGCACTTAACCTATGTAACCTTGAATCTTGCCAACAGCTGTGCAAGGACGAAGAGGCTAAATGTGCCATGCCAAGTCACAAATCTAGTCAGCAGCAGAGCCAGAATTGGACCAGTACCTCTCTGACTGGGGAACCTGATTTTTCTGTTTTGCTGCCTATTTAGCCTTCTAATGGAAGTTGGGTGTTTGATGTTCCATAGCATCTGATTTACGCTTCTATATGGTAACCGTTGCCCTCTCTGGACACATTGCAGAACAAATGTCTCCCTGTTGGAGCCCCTCAACCGAAAGCCCTCATTGAAGGTTAGCGCATTCTCTGCTGCTTCAGCATTTCCAGAGCACCCAGTTGCTGAAGTATCTGCATGTTTGGGCAAAACACATCAACCTATCCATCTGTCTGTGTCTGCCCTTCCAAGAATCCATCACCATAGTAACTTGGTACTCAGACAAGAGGTTGTAGATGAGAACGGAACAAAGGCCAGACCTTCTCCTTCTCTGAAGGCGGAGGATTAGGATCATTTGAGTGCTCTCATATGGCAAGTGTCATGGCTACAAGTGCTTCACTGGCAGCCACCAACATCTCAAGGGGCTGGCCACGTAGTAGGTACTCAGAAAATATCTGTTAAACAGTATAGGAACGATTGAGAGTTTTTTTGCTTGTTTTCACAAATGGTTGTGATAACTGAGGCAGATCCTTCAAAGTGGTCATTGAAAAGCAGTCATTTGAAGACAAACTGAGGACTTGAGTTGGGCTTGGTTCTGGGACCTTGGGTGTGACACTTTACCTCCATTTTGCAAAGCCCATTTCATTGCTCATAAAAAGGGGGATAATTTTCCTTCTTCATAAGTCTGTGGTGAGGATCCAGTGAGGTGATTAGCAACAAAAGCATTTTACCTCCAAGTGCAGTAAAGTGGCAGGTCCTGTTTCTATCACCTTAGGAGTCACAAAACTTTGCCCTGGAATGAGCAGGGGGCAGAACCTCACTGAAGATGAGCAAGTTTCACTCTTAGACTTTGCCCTGGAATTTGGCCCCTCCAGTTTTTCCTTTCTGCATGCTTTTCAAAGTCAGTCGCCTTTTCCCAGCCAAAAAGGAATTTATCTCACTGTACTTTTTCCAGGATGTAGCCTTGGTTATTTAGAGAAGCGCCATCCCAGCAACGAAGCACTGCAGATGCTCCAATGAGTGTCCTACTTCCAAAGCAGCCCTGTGCAAGCCCCACAGAGCTCCATCCTGCCTCCTGTGTGACTTCCTAAATAGCATGTGCTTTTTTCCTCCCTCCACCACTCCTACAGCGTTCCACAAGGCTGGGCGACAGAGAGAAGCGGTCCAGGTGCTGGAGCAGCTCACAAACAATGCCGTGGCGGAGAGCAGGTTTAATGATGCTGCCTATTATTACTGGATGCTGTCCATGCAGTGCCTCGATATAGCTCAAGGTGTGTAAACATCAGCCAGACCACTGTTTTCCCAAGCCCCACTCTGACACCAAGATAAACATCAGAAGAGCTGGGACATTTTAATTAAAGCCCTGGGCTTGTTTATTGGGTGTATTGTCCATAAGCCTGCCTTGCAGTGGCGTAATCTGGTGTATCATCTTTTTCCAGTTTGCCCATCAGAATGGTATGAGGACCGTCCTGGGGTTATGGTTGGCAGGTCCAGCCCTGCATTGCTAATTCAGAGCATATCTCTCCCCTGCTACCTGGGAGCCCATAGCTGGACCTGGGTGAGCACTGGGTTTTAAATTTTTTTAATTAAATGAGAAGATGAACGAGAGATGGCTTTACAGTAACACACTCCAGATTCTTACTCATCCCAGCCAGGAAAACAGTTTCAATATTGCTTTCTTTCACAAGACTTCCCATGATGTACTGAAGGAGTAGTGGAAGTGGAAGAGACAAGGAGATGTTCTTCTCCACTGGACAAGGCCACATGCAGGGGTGGGAAAAACACTGGCATGGAAGCTGCAGGTGACTTGTAGCAAGTCACAATCCTTCCTGAGCTCTGCATGCCCATCTGTCCTGTGGGAGTCCCTTGTCCTGGTCCCTTTGGTTGCTGGGAGCCTCACAGAGTCATGCTTACAGTTTGAAAATTGTCAAGCCTAGGTGTAAGGTCGCATTTTTCTGTTTGGGCCAGTGCCTTATGCTTCTGATAGGAGCAGCAGAGGGAAGAGGCATAAGATGAGCATGAATACAGTTGGTGTCTGCCTGCCTTTGTCCCAGCAGGCTCTTCCGACACATCTTGGGTCTTGCTGCAGCTGTCGCTCCCCCAGGGGAATAATCTGGGAGGGTGCAGTGAGAGATCTGGAAAAAATATCCTCAAACTCCCTGGCCTTATGCCCTGTCCACCTAAGAATTCACCATCCTGGAGTGGCCCTACTCCTAAGCAGAGTGGCTTTCCCCTCACTACACTTTGTCCCTCACCCTGGCACAGACACTGTGTGGTGGGAGAACTGATGCTGGGAAAAGTACTGTTGCCTGGCCCCTCCTCCTGGGGCCAGTTGGCAGCCACAGACACTGTTTGACACGTTTCCCCTCCCACCCGCTGCACACAGCAGATCCTGCCCAGAAGGACACAATGCTTGGCAAGTTCTACCACTTCCAGCGTTTGGCAGAGCTGTACCATGGTTACCATGCCATCCATCGCCACACGGTAAGGTGGCTGGGTCACCAGCACCTGAGGGTACCATCTCCTGAGCTAGGGGTCCCGGGCATATCTAAAGAGCAGCAGACTGGATGGAATGTAACCCACTGGTCACAGTGAACTGCTGAGGAATCTTGGTCTCCTCTGGGAAGAAAAAGTTTGAGTTTCTTTGATTGACTGTTTGTCTGCCATGCATCAAGCAGTGGGCTCCTGAATTGTGATCCAGAGCTGGAATGGGCCTTGCTAGTTCCTCAGTGCAGGCTTTGATGACTCAGGGAAACTCTGCATTAACCAGCAAGAGGGGTGGGAGTTCCATGAGGCCCTCTCCTTCAGTAGGGCGAAGGCCCAGATTAACCAAAGGCTCGAGATCCCTCCCTGGCCCTGTCAGTGATTTGTGTGTTCTTCAGCAATTCACTTTCCCTCTCTGTCCCTCAGTTTCCTTCTCTGTGAAACTAGAGTGTTGGCTTGGTCTCCAGAAACCCAAGTAGTTCTTTTTAGTCACTCCCTGATTCCTTTGAGAAAGCCATTTTAAATCTCTCTGGTGGCAATGGGGAACAGGTGATGGGTTGTCAACAGCCTCTTCATCCACTGTATCTCCTCAATCACCCAACAGATGTTGAGCACTTAGTACCTAGTAGGCAATGTACTGAGGGCTTCATTGTATCAAGTCATTTCCTCCTTTCAACCACACTTTGAGGGAAGGACTGTCACCCCCATGTTACAGATGAGAATGAAGCCCTAGACAGAGAGGTCTCAGAGGTTATTAGGTTGGTGCAAAAGTAATTGCGGTTTCAGACTGAATTTTAAATCATTATAACTAGGCTCAAACACATCTTTATTAATTAAAATAGGAACCATTATGATCAACACATTTTTGCCAATGAGAAATAAGTCTGTTTATTTCTGTAGCATAA
This sequence comes from Homo sapiens, assembly GCF_000001405.40. NCBI lineage: Eukaryota > Metazoa > Chordata > Mammalia > Primates > Hominidae > Homo > Homo sapiens. Next base: position 129,508,668 of record NC_000003.12, read on the forward strand.
AAATCCATACTTTGGGATTTGACGAACTCTTGGAAAGCATTTTCTGCATCCTGCTGGTTGTGGAAGCATTTTCCCTGCAAAAAGTTGTTGAGATGGTTGAAGAAGTGGTAGTTGGTTAGCAAGAGGTCAGGTGAATATTGCGATGAGGCAAAATTTTGAAGTATTGGTTGTGTGATGTGCAGTCAGGTGGGTGGAGAAGAATTGGGCCCTTTCTGTGAACCAGTGCCAGCTGCAGGTGTTGCAGTTTTCGGTGCATCTCCTCGATTTGCTGAGCATACTTCTCAAATGTAATCATTTCACCAGGATCAGACAACTGTAGTGGATCAGACCAGCAGCAGACCACCAAACAGTGATCATGACCTTTTTTTGGTGCAAGTTTGGCTTTGGGAACTGCTTTGGAGCTTTTTCTCAGTCCAGCCGTGGAGCTGGTCATCACGGTTGTCATGTAAAGTCCACTTTTTGTCACACCTCACATCTGATTGAGAAATGTTTTGTTGTTGTTGCATAGAATAAGAAAAGACAACACTTCAAAACGACTATATTTTCATTTTCTATCAGCTCATGAGGCACCCACTTATCAAGCTTTTTCACCTTCCCAATTTGCTTCAAATGCCAAACAACCGTAGAATGGTTGACATTGAGTTCTTCGGCAACTTCTCCTGTAGTTGTGAGAGGATCAGCTTCGATGATTGCTCTCGGTTGTTGTCAACTTCCAGTGGCCGGCCACTATGCTCCTCATCTTCAAGCCTCTCATCTCCTTTGCAAAACTTCTTGAACCACCACTGCACTGTATGTTTGTTAGCAGTTCCTGGGCCAAATGCGTTGTCGATGTTACGAGTTGTCTCTGTTGCTTTATGACCCATTTTGAACTCAAATAAGAAAACTGCTTGAATTTGTTTTTTGTCTAACATCATTTGCATAGTCTAAAATAAACAGTAAGTAATAACTCATTAGCAAAAAAACATAAAGCGAGAAATGCCCGTTGAAATGATGTATAACATAACCACATTTAAGAATGTATTCTACTATCAAACAGCAAATTCCAGAGCCAATATGTGAGTCTCAGTAGTCTGGCACTGGAGCCTGTGTTCCTAGCCTTTCCCTCCCTGTCTCCTTTTAGAGAAAGCAGGCTAGTATGTTGGTTTAGTGGGTAAACTCGAGAGTCCTCACACACAAATGACACTGTGTTACTTATCTTCTCTGGCCTTCAGCTTCTTTCTCTATAAAATAGGGATAACAGCACTATGTACTTGATGGGATTGTTTTGAGGATTAGACGAGTTAATATTGGAAGAGTACCTAGCACAGAGTGACCCTAGGTGGCAGCTATCCTTACTGCTGCTCCAGGCAAGGCTTCACGCCAGCTTTCCCTGACCTGCTCCCTCCAGCTGGGCATCTAGCATTTCTCTTTTTTCAGAGATGAGGTCTCTGTCGCCCAAGGTGGAGTGCAGTGTCATGATCATAGCTCATGGCAGCCTCAAACTGCTGGACTCAAGTGATCCTCCTGCCTGAGCCTCCCAGAGCACTGGGATTACAGGCATGAGCCACCACGCCCAGCCTTCCCGCCGTTCTTTGACCTCTCAAATGCCCTGCCTTCCACCTTGGGCATTTCTTTCCCTCTAATCTGTGCTGACTTCTCAGCACATTTTTTGCCTCTTGGGAAAGTCTGGCAAGAAGGACTCCTGACAGGCTCTGTGCATGCCGTCAGTCTAGTGTTACATCTCTTCCCACAGCAGGGTCAGTGGTCTCAAGGGACCTCATCTTCCCTTACAGTCTTTGGCTTTCCTGAAACGAGACCCCCTCAGGGTCCCTCATCTTTATCAGGTGCTCACCTGGAGAGAAACCACCACAAAAGGAGCCCAGACTCAACTTAGGCTGGAAGTCAGGGCCCAGCTCAGCCTCACTTTGCCCAAGCCACTCCAGAGCCTGGCTCTCAGCTCCTTCCCTCAGACTTTTCTCTCGCTGCTCCCTGTCCTCTTCCTCACCTGGGGCATGGGGCTGAGGGCTCCTGTCTCTAACAGCTGAGCTCTGCTCCAGGACCTACATGGGACTAGGAGCTAAGGGGCCTCAGACCAGCTGGGGCCCTGGCTCTTATCCCAGCTGAATCTTATTAATTGGGCCATTCCTTCATTCAATAAATGCCTACTACGTGACAGACCCTGTGATGAGACCTGGTGACACGGTGGTGAACAAAACGTTGTCCCTGCAGTCAGTCCCAGTCTAGCAAACAGGACAATCCCTCAGGGGAAACGTTTAGAGGCCTGTGAAGAGACTTCCTGGAGGAGGTGTCCTCTCAGCCAGAAGGAGGGAGAGAATAAAAATGGGGCAAGTGAAGTGGAGGAGGATTAGGAAGGGTGTTTGTGGCAAAGGTCACAGCCTGTGCAAAGGCCTGGAGGTGAGTGGTAGTTTGTGGTTCAGCATCCAGGGCCCAGCAGAGCAGCACTGATTCAGGGCAAGACTGGAAAGGGAAGTTCAGGTCCTTCCTGGATACATGGCATCTTTCCCAGAGGAAAGGACTCCCCTGCTACCTATTCTCTCTGGGACGTTACTTAGCTTCCCTACCTAGTGCAGTAGAACCACAGGCAGAGTTCATCTTGTTCTTACCCTGGAAAGGATGTGGTCTCAGGTTTTCTTGGGTTCTTGGAGCTAACAAAAGGTATAGAAATTTACGTGTGAACTAAATAGAAAATGCTAAGCTCTGAACTGAAGAAGTGTAGAGCAAAGTGAGTCCTCAGGAGTTCAGACCAATTAGGGGTTAAGCTTTGGTGGCTCAGTGATGAGTAGGGCCTCACAAGACCCTTCTTAAGTGCTCACAAGAAAGAGGAGTTACTGGCCTGCTGTAATCCTCACCATCTAAAGCTTTATTAGAAATGGGCAATCTCAGTTTATATACAGTGTGCCAGATGCCTTCAAAATAAGGTATTCTTAACCTTTTGTAGACCCTCACACAGAAAATTCCTTATTTGTCTGCTGAGCTTCTGGCAGCCTCTAGGTACGAAGACCAATCACTAATCTGTGCTAACTGCCTCCTGTTAGTGCCTATGCCAGGAGCCAGGGAAATGGGTCAGCAGTTGAGGAACTCCGCATGTGTGCTCGTTTGGTGGCACATCAGTCAAGCTGCTGTTGGAAAGCACAGAAGAGGCATGTGGGTTCATGCTGGAGAGGGCTAAATGCCTCTGTTGAAAGACAGGCTTATATGAATCAGTGGTTATGTCCTAAGCTGCATAGAAGGTCTTCTCTTTTAGAGCTAATTGGAGACAACTTGAGTAGTTCAGAGAAATGGAATAATTACCAACTCCAGAGGCAGTACAGCTTGGAAGAAAGACATTCTTGGGCTTTGGAATCAGACCTGGGTTTGAACAGCAGCTCAGCTCTGTTCTAGTTGGTGACTTGGGCAAATCATCTATCTAGGTGTCGGTTTCCTCATCAGTACTGTGAGGATAAAAATGCATACCACAAGGTTATTATGTTAAAGACCAGATGAGACAGTGGCTATATGGCGCTCAGCACACAGTAGGAGTAGGTGCTCAATAATCAGAGCCGCTCTTGTTGATGTCACTCAGAATTATTGGTGTCTGCCTTTTGGCCTGGCCCAGCAGCAGCTCTTGAAGAACTCAATCCCTGTTTGCTTTTCTCTCACTGCAGGAAGATCCGTTCAGTGTCCATCGTCCTGAAACTCTTTTCAACATCTCCAGGTTCCTGCTGCACAGCCTGCCCAAGGACACCCCCTCGGGCATCTCTAAAGTGTATCCTTTCTCTTATCCCTCCTCCGTCCCACCACCGTTCTTGTCTAATGGCCCCAAGAAATTCCTTCCAGAGCACTTTCCTGGCAGAACCTTCCTCTCTCAGCAACCCTCAGGGAAGACAGAGAACTCACCCTCCCGCTGCTGTTTGGCTATAGAGGCTCAGCAGGGAGGCCCAGGGGCCCAGGCCAAGAGAAGATGAGTTTTCAGGGCTCTCTGAGCTGAACCCAGCAGTGGGTCTCTGGCCAACACACTGTCCCAATCCCTCCTAGAACCCACAGATGAGGGTGTGACTGAAATGGAAGAAGCACCAGGCCTTCAGGCTTGGAACCTTGGGCACTTCTCCAGACTGGGGAGGAGGGAGTGTTTGTTCAGCCCAGGTATACATAGCACCTTCTGTGCCCCAAGCCCTGGGCCAGGCACCAGGTGGCAAAGCTGCCATCAAAGAGGGAGGTCACAAGTTAGGGTCTGGTTTGGTGGATGTGTGCTGTGTCTGAGGGTGGAATGAAGCTGAGGTCAGGGCCATGGTCAGGGAAGTTTACCTGGAGGAGGAGATGTCCATCATGCAAGCTGAGGCAGCCAGGGAAGATGGCCAAGTGGATGTTCCAGGGGAGGACCCAGCATATGGAGAGGCAAGCAAGGCATGTGGGAGAGGGTGAGGGGACCCTGGGTGGGAGGGGCCGGAGAGGCAGCAGGACCCAAGGCCTGAGAGCCTACCTTTGGGTTTTCCTCTCTTCTGTAGCCATCGAGGGCCACAGTGGTACCATAAGCAGAGCAGGTGCCTGAAGGGCCTGTGCAGCCAGATACTGGATCATTACCAGGCAATGATCCAGATTTTTAAGGTCTTGGATGTCAGGAGACATAATTGTCCCTGTTCTTTTCTAAATCTCACTGTACTCTCAGCTCCTTCCCAGCCGCAGCCCCACCTTCCCTCTGTAAGGAAAACCCACTCCACTGGAGAAGACCCAGAGCTCCTTGTTGTAAGAATTGGCCTCGCTAGAGGATTCCAGGCCCATTATGTACATTTCAGGGGAAATACCCTCAAATCAAGGGGTGCCTTCCTGGAGTCAGACCTCTGCTGCATGCGTCTCCGTCTTTCCCCGTAGGAGCAGTCAGGGCTATGCCTGTGGGGGCTGAGCACCTGTACTCATCCTTTCCAGCAAGTTCTGTTTGAGTCAACAGCTTGATAGAACCTCTACCCTGAGCCTTACCCTGTGCCATCCCCTGGGGACCTGGAAATGGCTCCTGACAGTCCCTGACTTTGAGGAGTCATGCTGGAGACACAGAAGGAAACTCTCCACAGAACTGCTGAAGTGGACGGGGCTGCACTGCAGACGGCGGGAGCAGGAACACTGGGAGAGATGCGGGAGGAAGGGCAGGAGGGCCTGGGGGCAGCCAACATCGGAGGTGACCTGAGAGGAGAGCACAAAGGCTCGTCAGCCTCTGGCTGAGGAGCTTCAAGGGGGCCCCAGAGCACAGGCTGCCGCTCAGAAACTGCCCACCAGGCCCTCGGGGAAGGGTGTGCAGACAGAGTGGGGTACACCCAGGGGCCTCAGAGCAGGGTTGAGGGTGGCTCCCCAGGGAGTCTGGACCAGGCCCCACCTGGCAGGGTGAGAGCAGAGTGCCCTTTGTGCCAGGCATCCTAGGAGGGCCTGGCTGGCAGGTTTGGTGAGGCAGGAAGAGCCATTTTGGCCTAGTCAGGGTATAAGATGAGCCATCAGCAGGCCCAGAGATGCTAAGCAAGGTTAAAGTATTAATGGAAACTACGCTGTTTTTATCTTTGGAAAAATTCCTGGGCCTTGCCATCCGAGAAGTACACTCACCTCTCACAAGCGCACAGAGCCTTCCTCACGGTCTTTCCTCTGCCTTCCCGGCACCAGCACAAGCTGTGTTCCAGCCTGGGGCTCACTCCAAGGACAGGCAGTGCCAGCTCCTGGGCCTGGTGTTGCCCCTGCTGTCCTTAACCCTGTTCACGGCAGGAAAATACTCTTCACCTTGGCCAAGCAGAGCAAGGCCCTCGGTGCCTACAGGCTGGCCCGGCACGCCTATGACAAGCTGCGTGGCCTGTACATCCCTGCCAGATTCCAAAAGTCCATTGAGCTGGGTACCCTGACCATCCGCGCCAAGCCCTTCCACGACAGTGAGGTGAGGATGCAGCACCCTTGGGCAGGTGGCTTCTCCTCTCCCTTGAGGCCATCTCATGCCTTCTTGCCTGGCCTGGGTTCCGTTTGAAGAGAGACAGCTGCAGCTCCCTCTAGGCTCTGTGCCCCCTGCTCAAGCCTGGCCATGCCAGCTCCCCTGTGCTTCCCTGTCCACCTCCTGTTCTCCCCGCAGTCCACCTGGCGCCCGCTCACAGCCCCCGGCCCCGGCCTCAGCCCTCAGCCTGGCCTCCCTTGCTCCTTGCCCTCCCCTAGGCAAGCCCCACACCTCTGTGCCCAGGTGGCTCTGCCTTTACCCCAGGCCTGGCCCCAGAGCTGACTCTTACTCTAGAAACCTCTGCCCTTTCTGGAACCAGGCTGTAGTTCTCCAGCAAATCTACCCCACACTCCCAACCCACATTCCTTCAACCCAGCCAGCTTCCTTCTTTCACACATCCTCCCTCAAGCTCAGAGCAAGGACTTGGTTCAGACAGACCTGGGTTCACATCCCGGCTCCACCCTCTCCTAGCTCTGTCTCCATCTTTCTGCACCTTGGGTTCCCCCTTTCCCACAGGTAGTTGTGAGGCTAAATGAGCCAGTATAGTCCACGTGCTCCGCACGGTGCCCGGAGCATGGTAAATGGCTGGCTAATGGTGGCAGCGGCCACTGTCATTCCTGCCAGGGGAAAAGTGCCGTTGAGCGCTGCCTGTGCAGGTGTCTTGGGCACGGGGACCCAAGTGACAGGGCTTGGGTATTTCGGCAGGCCTTTATCCTGCTTCCCCATGGCATGGAGCTCCTGGGCCCGGCGCCCCTTCCCTGCCTGCCCACCCGGGTGGCCTTTCCTCTTGGCAGCCAGGCCCCAGGGGCCTGAAGCCAGAGTCCAGGGGGAGGAGGACACGTGCCTGCCCCGGCCCCTCGGGAGTCCGTGGCTGTTTTGTAGGAGTTGGTGCCCTTGTGCTACCGCTGCTCCACCAACAACCCGCTGCTCAACAACCTGGGCAACGTCTGCATCAACTGCCGCCAGCCCTTCATCTTCTCCGCCTCTTCCTACGGTGAGTCCCTGCATCCTGAGCATGTGGGTGGGACAGCCTGTGGACAGCCAGGCTCACTCCACTGCTCTCTGGCCTCAGGACGTTGGGCAAGGGCCAAAGGCCTCTGAATGTCCCTGTTTATGAAATGAGGACACTCTGACGCCCACCTACCTGACACAAGGAGTCACTGTCGGTGTTCCCAGAGATAGGACCCACTGCTGCCCAAAGCTGAAGCACCCACTCTGGGAACCTGGCGCAGGGCTTTACATAACCAAATGCCCCAGAAAGAGAGTCCGATGGCTTTGCATTCAGACCAGGAGGCTGAGATAGGTTATCAAGGCCCAGCTCCTTTGATGTTGACAGAGGATCAGAAGCCCCTTCCCAGGAGCTGAGCAGAGGCCACACACACACACAGACACACACGCACACACAGACTGCCCCTGCACACACACACATACAGAAACTGCCCCTGCACACACACACACAGACTGTCCCTGAACACACACACAGACTGCTCCTGCACACACACACACAGACTGCCCCTGCACACACAGAGACTGCCCCTGCACACACACACAGAGACCGCCCCTGCACACACACACACAGAAACCGCCCCTGCACACACACGGAGACTGCCTCTGCACACACACACAGACTGCCCCTGCGTGCACACACAGACTGCCCCTACACACACACAGATTGCTCCTGCACACACACACACACACACACAGAGACTGCCCCTGCACACACACAGAGACTGCCCCTGCACACACACACAGAGACTGCCCCTGCACACACACACAGAGACTGCTCCTGCACACACATACAGAGACTGCCCCTGCACACACACACAGACTGCCCCTGCCCACACACACAGAGACCGCCCCTGCACACACACATGGAGACTGCCCCTGCACACACACATGGAGACTGCCCCTGCGTGCACACACAGAGACTGCCCCTGCACACACACAGATTGCTCCTGCACACACACACACACAGAGAGACTGCCCCTGCACACACACAGAGACTGCCCCTGCACACACACACACACACGGAGACTGCCCCTACACACACACACAGAAACTGCCCCTGCACACACACAGATTGCTCCTGCACACACACACACACACACACACACACACACAGAGAGACTGCCCCTGCACACACACACACAGACTGCCCCTGCACACAGACACACAGAGACCGCTCCTGCACACACACAGAGACTGCCCCTGCACACACACACAGAGACTGCCCCTGCACACACACACACACAGAGGCTGCCCCTGCACACACACAGACCGCTCCTGCACACAGACACACAGAGACCGCTCCTGCACACACACGGAGACTGCCCCTGCACACACACAGAGACTGCCCCTACACACACACACACAGACTGCCCCTGCACACACACACACACAGAAACTGCCCCTGCACACACACAGATTGCTCCTGCACACACACACACACACACACAGACTGCCCCTGCACACACACACAGAGACTGCCCCTGCACACAGACACACAGAGACCGCTCCTGCACACACACATGGAGACTGCCCCTGCACACACACGGAGACTGCCTCTGCACACACACAGAGACTGCCCCTACACACACACACAGACTGCCCCTGCACACACACACACACAGAAACTGCCCCTGCACACACACACATTGCTCCTGCACACACACACACACACACACACACACACACACAGAGACTGCTCCTGCACACACATACAGAGACTGCCCCTGCTGCCTCTTCTTGCTTTTGGTGAAGCTGCCAGTGGGTTGAGAAGCAACTCTGTGGTCACCCCACCTGCCTGGCGGCAAGTCCTTTGCAAGGCCTCCAGCCCCCTCAGCCCTTTCTCTATGCCCTCCAGACGTGCTACACCTGGTTGAGTTCTACCTGGAGGAAGGGATCACTGATGAAGAAGCCATCTCCCTCATCGACCTGGAGGTGCTGAGACCCAAGCGGGATGACAGACAGCTAGAGATTGCAAACAACAGTATCCATGCCCTTGGCCAGAGCCTGTGTGTGCGGCTGTGTGAGGGGTCTGGGGACAGGCGGGAAGTAGGAGGGCCCAGTCCCAGGGGATCGCGGGCCATGCTGAGCCTGGCCCTGTGTTCCCAGAGAGATTGGAGAGGCCCACATGGGACAGGGACAGGGATCAGAGATGGGCAGACAGCTGGCCAGGGCCTAAGGACCCAGAAGTGGCAAGTGGCACCTTGGTCTTCCCGTGTGGGTCTCCCACCCTCCCCTGACCCCTAAAAGGCACTGGCTGTGCCTCTGTCTGTGCATAGCTCCTGCATAGCCAACATGGGACATGATGTCATGATGTCGGTGTTGGCCCCCAGCTCTTCCACTCAAGTCACTTTCGCATGCAAGTGACAGAGTCCAAAACTGACAAGCTGAACAAGCAAAGGGTGTGCAAGGAAGCCCCAAGCAGGAGAGGAAGCTTCCTGGCCCAGCGCTCAGTCTGGTCGGTCACAGGCTGGCTCTGCCTCTCTTGGCCGCACTGTCCTCTGGGCAACTTCATTCTTTGGCAGCCCCGTGGTGCCCCCATAACACAGAGATGTCAGGAGCAGTGCCAGCCCCACATCCCCTCAGCCTTATAGCCCCCAGAAACAGCCAGCTTTCCTCTCAGCTGTGGCAGTGAAAGCCCCGGGGCACAGCTCAGCCTGCCCCTTGGCCAGGAGGATGCACCAGGGCAGTTGTCCAGGGCAGGCCACACTTGCAGGCTGGACATGGGAGGGGCTTCTGGCAGGGAACAGCACACACGTGGCCTGAGGCCTCGCTCCCTTGCACTGACTGAGTCTGCAGGCCTGGGGGCTGTAAGCCTGCCTTCCTTGCAGCTCCCAGGTGCTGCCACCCCCAGGGGCCACACTGGGAGGAGGGAAGCTCAGAGAGCTGCTTGCTGAAGGAAAGACGGACCCATCTCTGCCACCCAGGCTCCCTCAGGTGCCACAGATGATATGTGCTATGGTGCTGGCAGGTGGGTGCTGTGCCCACTCCAACTTGGTACCAGCAGTCCCCATGTCCTGGGCCTCCCTGCAGGACCCCTGCTGGCCTCTGTTACCAGCCCCACCACTGTGGGAGAGGGGCGGTTTCCAGGGACCTCCAGGTGAGTCTGACCCGCCCTGGGGTCAGCAGGGACTCTCGCCCCTGTCTGCTCCATCACAAGTGCCCGCAGACCCCCAGCAGCCACTGAATGTTTCTCCAGGATCCCTGGGCCCATCCCCTCCGTGCCTACCCGCAGTGGCTCACAGGGCCCGCATGTGCTTCCCACTGGCCCTGGGAGCTATGGTGTGTGTGGCCTGCGAGGGGAATGGGTGAGGGCAGCAGGGCCAGCAGAGTCCCTTCCTTCTGATTCCTTGGCCTGAGCCCCCTCTGTTCCTCCACCTGGAAAACTCTTCCACTGGTCTGGCTGCCCTTGAGTCTTCTCACAGGGGTGTAGGGTGGAGGCTAGGGTCTGTCTCCATCTCTGCTTCTGATTCCATCCTTGACCAGATCCCTCCAGGCTCCCAGATTCTGCGGCTAGTGGAGACCAAGGACTCCATCGGAGATGAGGACCCGTTCACAGCTAAGCTGAGCTTTGAGGTGAGGGTGCCTCTCTGGGTGACCTGCAGGAGGGCAGCCTCCATCCCTTCTCCTGTGCACATGGGGACCCTCAGCTAGCGCAGTGGTGGAGGAGGATTGGCCAGAACTTCCAGATGTGGTGGCACGAAGGAGGGGCAGGACCCCTTCCTGTGGGGTGTGGGAGCCATGGCTGCCCCCGAGGGACCATGGCCAAGGGCGCAGGTCTGTGGACAGGGAGGCAGCTTCAGCTCTGGTGGGAGGAGCTTGCCACTGTTAGGGTCACCTGGGTTTAGGAAGCAGGTCCTCTCTCACCACTGCCAAAGATTCCAGGATCATAATCCACACAGATGTCTCACTGTGGCTGAGTGAGGACACTGTGCCTCCTTCCCGCCCACCCTGCAGCAAGGTGGCTCAGAGTTCGTGCCAGTGGTGGTGAGCCGGCTGGTGCTGCGCTCCATGAGCCGCCGGGATGTCCTCATCAAGCGATGGCCCCCACCCCTGAGGTGGCAATACTTCCGCTCACTGCTGCCTGACGCCTCCATTACCATGTGCCCCTCCTGCTTCCAGGTAGGTGGCCACCCTGGTAGCTCACATGTGCTTCTCTTGGCCACTTTTCCCTTGCCCAAATGTCCCTCTGGGAGGCGTGGCCCCTGGGAGGAGGGGCACATCCATGGCTCCAAGTTGGGACAGAGGCTTGTCTGTCCTCTCCCCTGCTTGCATTCCATGTGCATCTAAAGTGGACTTCACTGGCCCCTGCGCTGTCCACATCCTCCCCAAATCCTGGGGGCCCAGCAAGCGTGATGTGCCCTTGACCTTCACTCAGAAAACAAGAAACCCCACAGCCCCCTCCCATCTCCCCTTCCAGCCCTCAAACAAAGGTGCTGCAGGTCTGTGTCCAGCCCTGACCACTGCCAAGCCCCCTCCCCTTGAGAGGCAGTGCGTCCTGGCCCCAGGCGTAGGGCTGATGAGCACTAGGGCTTCAGCCTGGTCTTACAGCTGTCTTCCCTTAGATGTTCCATTCTGAGGACTATGAGTTGCTGGTGCTTCAGCATGGCTGCTGCCCCTACTGCCGCAGGTGCAAGGATGACCCTGGCCCATGACCAGCATCCTGGGGACGGCCTGCACCCTCTGCCCGCCTTGGGGTCTGCTGGGCTGTGAAGGAGAATAAAGAGTTAAACTGTCAGAATGTGTTTCTTGCCCAGATGAAGTTTGTGTTTTGTGGGGGGGGCCTTGTGTAACCACGGAATTCCTATTTATGGCATTTCATGCCTTGTAAATAGCACCAGGAGATGAGGAAGAGAATGTACATATATTTTCTAAGGAAAAAAATCTGTTACTTTCAGAACGGCTCCGAGTTGTTCGTGGCAGCCTGCTGGAGTCCGCCGATCTGTCAGACCGTTAGCATGTACATTTTGCCAACAGATTGCCTCAATAATGACAAAAGGGCTCCTTATTTTCATCAGCATCTACATTTTAGCAAATCATCTTATTGTCTGCAACTTAATTTCCGTATGCAAAAGTGCACCTGTTTCTAATTTGAAAGGAACATTACATTTGTGTGCTCTTAACATTTAATCAAAATGGCAATATAGAAAGGGGTGGGGGAGCAGGGGGTTTTTTTGTTTATTTATTTTGATTTAATGGGGATCCATCTTGACAAGAGAAAATACGTGGGTCCAAAGAAGATGGCAGGAGTTTAAAAAAAGGCTCCTGTTTGGTAGCCCAGTCAAGGCTCCTGTCCAGGCTCTGGAGCCGCCCTCTTCCATCCACCTTCCCCAGCCCCACAGAGCAGCCCCAGCCCAATGGAGACTCTTCCCTTTGGAACAGCTCCTTAAGCAGGGGGTTTCCGTTTGAGATTCCAGACTGCCAAGGTCTGTTCCCTCAGGCATCACTGGTGTCCAGTCCAACAGCTTGAGGGCATGGAAGGAACAGCACACAGAAGCTAAGGAGAACTCACATGTATGGGGGACGTTTTTGGCACCAGCCACGTTCCATGCTGTCTCAGGCCTCTCAGCAGCCCTGTGAAGGAAGAGTTATGATTTCCAGTGGGGCTGGGAAGGGGGTTGCCAGGGCCCAGGGGCTGCCTCCAGCCCTGGGAGGGGCGGCCCATGATGTGTCCAGCCCCAAGGCCCTGCCCCTTTCACCCCCAGTCCACCTGCCAGAGGTGGCAATGCAGCACTTCATGAAAAGCCCAAGAACAGCTGGCACAGGCAGGAGAGAGGGTGTGGGCTGTCATGCCATGCCGAAACGCACCCTCCCCTCGTGCTGCAGTATTGATTCCTTACAACCTACCTGTGCAGGGGTCAGGGCAGGGCAAATATGCCCACTGGAGGGACGCAGACACTGAGACCCCAAGGAGAGTGGCTGCAGAGGCCCCCAGTGGGAAGTGTCGGAGCTAGAGCCCCATCCCAGAGCCCTTGCCCCACCCCAGACCGCCCCTCCTCCCTGCCTCCCTCCGCATCTCTCTGGAGATGATGGAGGAAAATAAAGAAAGGGAGCCAGACAGTTGTGCCAACAGAACTCCTCCGTCGAGTGTCTAATTACTTACCATCATGCATGCGCTCTCTCACTAAACATTTATTAATGTGTTAGGATTTCCATTAGCGCATGACTTCAACTGAAATCATTTGCATATGGCTGGGAAAAAGGGGAGAGGGAGAAAACAGCTCCAGCTACCCAGCAGTCAATCACAGTGACAGATCAGATGGTCCCTGGCTGGAGGCAGGGGAGGGTTCCAGCCGAGACTCCAGCATGCATCCCCTCAGCCGAAGAACACAAAAATGAGTGTGCTGTGCCGGGCTCTGCTGCCCCAGGAAGCTCAGCTCTAGAGGCCTGAGTAGGACCCCTATTCATTCAGATGCACTTTCCGTGCATCATCCAAGGCTGCCTATTACACAGGTGATGACACTGAGCCTCAGTCATGTTATTTTTCATTCAGCAAATATGCATTAAGCCAAGGCATATTTGGTCGCACCTGGGTGCAACCTTTGTGCATAAGCCCTGTGTCTGGCTGCTTTTCTCTCTCAGCCTGATCTGGGTCTGAACCAAGTCCAGTCTTTTCTCCAAGGCTGTTTCCCCATCTGCACAAAAGGGCCCCCTCCAGCTCTGACTCTGAGGTTCCAGCCTCAGTCTGCGTCTGTGAACAGCGCTGGATGATGATCCTGTTGACCCCTCAAGTGCCTGTGACAAGGAAGGCACCACAGGGACCTGGTGATGCCCATTGAACTAAGAGGACACTGAGGCCAGAGAGGAGCAGCTGCTGAAGGCTGCACGGTGGGGCAGTGATTCTGGCCTTTAGCCTGTAGTCCCAACTACTCAGGAGGCTGAGGTGGAAGGATCAATTGAGCCAAGGACAGGAATTCAAGGCTGCAGTAAGCTATGATTGCACCACTGCACTCCAGCCTGGGCAACAGAGCAACATTCATCTCTAAACAACATTTAAAAATTGTTTTAAGAAGACAAATGAGATAACTGTTGATCGTAATGGCTGTGTAAAAACTGAACATGGCTGGGTGTGGTCGCTCACACCTGTAATCTCAGCACTTTGGGAGGCCAAGGCAGGAGGATCGCTTGAGCCGGGAGTTAGAGACCAGCTCAGACAATATAGGGAGACCCCATCTGACTGGGACTGGTCCTGATCTCTCATCTCCAAGTGCTCAACATTGTGCCCATGTTCTTGGAAGGAGGAAGTAAGGGAGAGGTAGACTGAGCAGCCTCAGGTGGACCTGACTGGAGACGCACCTCAGGCAGCTGGAGGTCCCCGGGCCTTGGTTTCCCATCTGTCCCCAGCAAGGCTGTGAAGCTAGGAGCCCCTGGTGGCTGTCACACAGGTGGGCAGAGGCCCCTCCTCCAAGGTCGCTCTGTGTCTCTTCCCTGGCTTGGAGTCTGTGTGCCCACAGCAGAGGCCACCACTGGGCAGGGTGCTTACCCCGAGCCTCCCTGATTCTCCCCCTGCAGATCCAGAACACTGGCCTGGTATGGAGACCTCGTCATGGCCCTCCCTGCTTGCCACCCGCAGTAGCTGCCCATGCAATTCAGCCAACACCCAGACCCCTAGGCCTGCCCTCTATCCCCAGCACGCCACCCTGGGGGGCCCAGCACCTCCAGGCCCAGCTGGCCCTCCCTACCTGCCCTGCTTGGGAGACTCTTTTGACCCTCCTGGTCCACCTTTTGCTCCTCTGGGCTCCCACAGCACTGGGACTGGGAGAAAATGCTCATCTCTCATGTTTAGTTTCCGATCAGTACCCCCTGAGACTGGGAGCCCCTTGAAAGCAGGAACCATGTGGGATCCACCTCAGCGTCCCCAGGGCCTGGCGCATATAAGGAGTTTGGCAAATGCTAGGGTAGAAAAGAGAAAGAGGAAGGAGGGAATGAGAGCTGGTCTTTCTCCCTCCCTTATTCCCCCTTGATGCTCTCAGTACCGCTGAAGGCCTCATGTAGCCTTGGTGACGCAGCCTGGTGGGGCTGAGCCATGTGGGGGACCAGGAGAAAGAAAGCCAAGGAAGAGGAGGAGGAGGAGGAGAAGGAGGAGAAGGATGCTGACCTAGCAGCTCCTCTCACAGCAGCTCCTCTCTTGCAGAGGCTGAAGAGCGATTTGTGCCCTGCAAGCTAAGCCCCTAATCCACCGAGGCAAAGGCAAAGCCCCTAGCCGGGCTCCCGAGGGCTGGGACTCGGGTGCCCCAAGATGGCTGCATCCAGCCATCTTGGCTTAGAAAGCCCCCCACATGCCAGCTTGGCCAACACCCACACCATGGGTTTCTCTGGACTGCCCGACACAAGGTGTGGGTGCTGGCCAGGCCTGTGTTCAAATCCCAGCTCTGCAGAGGAACTTTGACCCTGCATACCCCAGATTCCTCAGTGGTCAGTGGGGAGTTAGACCCTCTTCATAGGGGGCAGGAGGAGTTGTTCATTCATTCAACAAATGTTTATTGAACACCTCCTATGGGTTGTGAGCTCAGAGGCAGCGATGAACAGGCCAGGCTGGTCCTGCATTCTAGAAATAGATGGGAAGTCAGTCAATAAGTAGACAAATGAGGCCAGGTGTGGTGGCATGCCTGTAGACCCAGTTACTCGGGATGCTGAGGTAGGAGGATCACTTGAGCCTAGGACAGGAATTCAAGGCTGCAGTAAGCTATGATTGCGCCACTGCACTCCAGCCTGGGCAACAGAGCAAGACTCATCTCTAAAAAACATTTAAAAATTGTTTTAAGAAGACAAATGAGATAGTCGCTGATGGTAATGACTGTGTAAAAACTGAACATGGCTGGGTGTGGTTGCTCACACCTATAATCTCAGCACTTTGGGAGGCTGAGATTACAGCCTCCCAAGTGGCTCCCAAGGCAGGAGGATCACTTGAGCCTGGGAGTTAGAGAACAGCTTGGACAATATAGGGAGAGCCCAACTCTACAAAAATGAAAATAAATTAGCCAGGCATGGTGGCACACACCAATGGTCCCAGCTACTCAGGGGTTGAGGTGGTGGACCGCTTGAGCCCAGGAGGTTGAGGCTGCAGTGAGCCATGATCATGCCGCTGCACTCCAACCTGAGTCACAGAGTGATACCCTGTCTCAAAAAACAATAGGCCAGGTGTGGTGGCTCACGCCTGTAACCCCAGCACTTTGGGAGGCCGAGGCGGATGGATCACTTGAGATCAGGAGTTAGAGACCAGCCTGGCTAACATGGCAAAATCCTGTCTGTACTAAAAATATAAAAATTAGCCAGGCATGGCAGTACATGCCTGTAGTCCTGGTTACTTGGGAGGCTAAGGCAGGAGAATCGCTTGAACCCAGGAAGAGGAGGTTGCAGTGAGCCAAGATCACACCACTGCACTCCAGCTTGGGTGACAGAGTGAGACCCTGTCTCAAAACAGCTAAACCTGGTGGGGGTGCCTGGTGTGTAGGATGGTCAGGGGTGGTCTCTCCAAGGACATGAGTGTGAGCGGAGACCTGAAGGAGACTCAGGAAGAGATTAATACTGTCAGCAACAAATATATTGATCACTTACAAGCACTCCCAATAATCCTATTAGGTAGGCACTATTATCATTCCCATTTTACAGAGTGGAGAACCGAAGCACACTCTCGGGAGGGCGGGGTAGCTGGCTGCACCCAGGCTGTGTAGCCTCAGTCCAGATGTAAGGGTGGGTGGAAAAGAGCCTTGCCCAATGAGGGAGAACAGTGAAACCAAGGCCATAGGGTCTAAAGATTCACGAACCAGGCTCTCATGGAGAAAGCAGGTGAGGTTTACTGTATAGATGGGTGTGCCCCTACCCCACACTGAGGCTTCCTCGTCTGAGCAAACTGAGGCCCAGAGAGGGGAAGGAAGCAGGACTACCATGGTGACTCAAAGACCAGCTAGAATCCAGCCTCCTCTCCTCGAGGCTTCCACTGCCCCACGCCAGGCCTGTGTGACTCAGTCTAGGGCCTTTCCATTACCCCAGCTAAACCTTTCTTTAGTCATTTATACCATGGTGTGAATGGCTGGCTGGTCTTTCCTGAGAGCTATCTTTGATGAGGGGAGGGAGGCATAGCCAGGTTTGGGAAGCTGATACCCCAGGAAGCCCAGTTGACTGTGTGGGTTATAGCCCAGGCTGTCACTGATTTGTAACGGGACCTGAGCAACTCTGCAGAGCTAGGCCTCAGTCTTTTCATCTGCAAAATGGATATAGCAGAGATGGTCAGAGTAGGTGACTTCGAATGACCCTTCCAGCTCACTATGAGTCTGTTTTCCTGAACAAAGAGCATTTTTTGTTTAAAAAAAAATTTCTTGGGCCGGACACGGTGGTTCACTCCTATAATCCTGGCACTTTGGGAGGCCGAGGAGGGTGGATCGCTTGAGCCAGGAGTTCAGGACCAGCCTGGGCAACATAGCGAGACTCCACCCCTACAAAAAATACAAAAACTAGTGGTGTGCACTTGTGGTCCCAGCTACTCAGGAGGCTGAGGTGAGAGGATCGCTTGAGCCCAGGAGGCAGAGGCTACAGTGAGCTATGATTGTGGCACTGCACTCCAGCCTGGGCGACAGAGACCTTGTCTCAAAACTTTTTTTTTCTTCGTCAAGCTTTACAGAATAAAGAGCACTGTCACCTCAGTGATGGCTGTTAGTTCCCCATCACCAGGGCTCCATGAGGTTGCAATTGTGAAACTCACAAAGGAGGAACCTGAGACAGAGAGGGGAAGTACTGAGATCATCTAGGTCCATTCCCCCACTCACTCGTTCATTCAACAAATATTCAGGAGCACCTTCTAGGTGCCAGGCCCTGGAGACACATCAGTGAACAAAACAGACATCATCCCACCTCTTTCCACTACAGGCCAAGCACCATGCTGGTCTCTGGGAACCCTGTTGTGAGCAAGACAGACCCAGGCTTACCCTTGTGGACTCATGTTACAGGCAGGGAGACGGGCACAAAACACAAATAAAAAGCTTCCATGCTGTCAGAAGCACTATGCAAAAAGCAAGATGCTGAGGTACTGCTAAGCTGTGTGGGATGGGGGCTCAGCCCGGCCAGGGAGGGGCCAGTTGTGGGTCAGTCTTGACCCAAGGCATCCAGGACACCCTCCTTCTGGCCATGAGGGTCCACGTCAGAATCAAACCCTCACCTTAACCTCATTAGCGTTGGGCATAATCACCAGGCCAAGCGCCTTAAACTACGAGAGGCCCCATCCCACCCGCCCTGCCTTAGCCCTGCCACGTGTGCCAAACGCTGTTAGACCCAACACCACCCAGGCCAGGTAGGGGGCTGGAGCCCAGGTGGGCTGCAGGGAAGGGGGCACTCTTCTGAGCAGACAGATCTGGGAATCCTGGGTGGGAAGAGAGACAGTGAGAGAGAGATTAAGGGATATTTCCCAGGCATCAGGGCTTTGCACTCTCAGGGGTCCTTCCGCCTGGATGTCCTTCCCCTGAAGCTTCCTCCTGTTGTTCCGTTCTCAGCTCAAGCTCCAGCTTCTCAGAGAAGCCTCCTGTGTTGGGAGTGGCTGCGACTGAACTGTCCCTACTGTTATTCGCTCTTCTATTTGTTTGTGGTCCCTGTGCCCCCTCACCCCACAAAAACACTGGCTTCTTGTGAGCAGGAGCTTGCTCTTTCGTGTACCCTGTGTGTCCCCAAGGACCAAGCACCTTGTCTGGGCCACAGTAGGTGCTCAATACACATGTTGGCTGGACAGTGGTCACTGAGCGGCCGCACGTCGGGCACTCTCAGCACTTGCACAGGCCGCCCCAGACACCCCACTTCATTCCTGGGAGGTGTCATCATGTTGCTTGGACGACGGGGAGAGGGGGACCTGCCAGTGTTGGCCTCCATTTTCCCCCAGTCATCTGCCCCCAAGGCTCTGACTACTTTCTTTCTCACGGTACATCCTGCTATTCTGGAATCGGCCCTCGTGGGGCCACCTGGTACATGGCATTTGAGGCCCTCGTGGCTGATTAGGCCTCCCCCAACAGTGCCCTGTCTGCTGCCTCCAGGGCCAGCCTCCCCTTCAGACTGGAGTCCCCTGAAGGGTTCTGCCCCTCCCCTGCTCTGGTAGCCCCCTCCATCCTCCCTCCCTCCACTCCATCTTTGGGGGCATTTGAGTCACCTTTCTACACCAGTGATCTGCCCAAGCCACTGCTCACTTTCCTCTGGATAAAGCCAGGTTCCCCGGCCTAGCGTTCAAGACCCATTACAACTGCCCCCAGCCCAGATCTTCCCCACCTAGCCACCTGGCAAACTGCTCCTTCTCTCAAAGGCCCAAACATGGCCTCCCAGACTGCAACCCCCAGGCAGTCAGGCCCTGTCTCCACAACCTCACAGCCACCCTGGACGGAATCTGCTTCTTCCCACATTTGAGTCCTCCTCAGCCCCTGAGCTCCTCTGGGCAGGGCTGTTTCTTTCCATCTTTGTATTCCCAGGGGCCTGCAAATAAATGTTTAATGAACGAACAAGAGAGTGAATTCCAATTCCATGCAACAAGGATTGGGCTCCTGGGCCCTAGGCTATGTGTCTGGCACCAGAAACGGAAGCTGCAGGTTGCAGCCCCTGCCCTCATGGAGCTCCTCCTGTCAGAGGAGTGTGGGGACTGGATGACTCCAGAGGTAACTTGTGGGGGAACGAACAGGTAAGGGGCTGTGTGACGAGATGAGAGACTGGGAGAATAAACCAGAAAGTCTCTAGCTGTCCAGAGGACATAGCACAGAGGCCCATGGTCCCTATTTCAAACCCAGGCCACCAGACTGAGCTGGGACCTTGGGACAGACAAGTCATGCAGAAGTTAGGGGACCTTCTCCTCCCTTTTCCTGGATCCTGAGTACCTCTCCTCCCTGACCTCAGGCTTCCTCCTAGTGTCACCTTGGCCCCTCTTAGAAGCCAATTAGGCCCTCAGTTTCTGCAGCGGGGATTAATATGATTATGAACACCCCCAATCTCCCAGATGCTGATTCAGCCAGGAGCTTAGGAGGGGGAGGTCACTTTATAAGGGTCTGGGGGGGTCAGAACCCAGAGTCATCCAGCTGGAGCCCTGAGTGGCTGAGCTCAGGCCTTCGCAGCATTCTTGGGTGGGAGCAGCCACGGGTCAGCCACAAGGGCCACAGCCATGAATGGCACAGAAGGCCCTAACTTCTACGTGCCCTTCTCCAATGCGACGGGTGTGGTACGCAGCCCCTTCGAGTACCCACAGTACTACCTGGCTGAGCCATGGCAGTTCTCCATGCTGGCCGCCTACATGTTTCTGCTGATCGTGCTGGGCTTCCCCATCAACTTCCTCACGCTCTACGTCACCGTCCAGCACAAGAAGCTGCGCACGCCTCTCAACTACATCCTGCTCAACCTAGCCGTGGCTGACCTCTTCATGGTCCTAGGTGGCTTCACCAGCACCCTCTACACCTCTCTGCATGGATACTTCGTCTTCGGGCCCACAGGATGCAATTTGGAGGGCTTCTTTGCCACCCTGGGCGGTATGAGCCGGGTGTGGGTGGGGTGTGCAGGAGCCCGGGAGCATGGAGGGGTCTGGGAGAGTCCCGGGCTTGGCGGTGGTGGCTGAGAGGCCTTCTCCCTTCTCCTGTCCTGTCAATGTTATCCAAAGCCCTCATATATTCAGTCAACAAACACCATTCATGGTGATAGCCGGGCTGCTGTTTGTGCAGGGCTGGCACTGAACACTGCCTTGATCTTATTTGGAGCAATATGCGCTTGTCTAATTTCACAGCAAGAAAACTGAGCTGAGGCTCAAAGAAGTCAAGCGCCCTGCTGGGGCGTCACACAGGGACGGGTGCAGAGTTGAGTTGGAAGCCCGCATCTATCTCGGGCCATGTTTGCAGCACCAAGCCTCTGTTTCCCTTGGAGCAGCTGTGCTGAGTCAGACCCAGGCTGGGCACTGAGGGAGAGCTGGGCAAGCCAGACCCCTCCTCTCTGGGGGCCCAAGCTCAGGGTGGGAAGTGGATTTTCCATTCTCCAGTCATTGGGTCTTCCCTGTGCTGGGCAATGGGCTCGGTCCCCTCTGGCATCCTCTGCCTCCCCTCTCAGCCCCTGTCCTCAGGTGCCCCTCCAGCCTCCCTGCCGCGTTCCAAGTCTCCTGGTGTTGAGAACCGCAAGCAGCCGCTCTGAAGCAGTTCCTTTTTGCTTTAGAATAATGTCTTGCATTTAACAGGAAAACAGATGGGGTGCTGCAGGGATAACAGATCCCACTTAACAGAGAGGAAAACTGAGGCAGGGAGAGGGGAAGAGACTCATTTAGGGATGTGGCCAGGCAGCAACAAGAGCCTAGGTCTCCTGGCTGTGATCCAGGAATATCTCTGCTGAGATGCAGGAGGAGACGCTAGAAGCAGCCATTGCAAAGCTGGGTGACGGGGAGAGCTTACCGCCAGCCACAAGCGTCTCTCTGCCAGCCTTGCCCTGTCTCCCCCATGTCCAGGCTGCTGCCTCGGTCCCATTCTCAGGGAATCTCTGGCCATTGTTGGGTGTTTGTTGCATTCAATAATCACAGATCACTCAGTTCTGGCCAGAAGGTGGGTGTGCCACTTACGGGTGGTTGTTCTCTGCAGGGTCAGTCCCAGTTTACAAATATTGTCCCTTTCACTGTTAGGAATGTCCCAGTTTGGTTGATTAACTATATGGCCACTCTCCCTATGGAACTTCATGGGGTGGTGAGCAGGACAGATGTCTGAATTCCATCATTTCCTTCTTCTTCCTCTGGGCAAAACATTGCACATTGCTTCATGGCTCCTAGGAGAGGCCCCCACATGTCCGGGTTATTTCATTTCCCGAGAAGGGAGAGGGAGGAAGGACTGCCAATTCTGGGTTTCCACCACCTCTGCATTCCTTCCCAACAAGGAACTCTGCCCCACATTAGGATGCATTCTTCTGCTAAACACACACACACACACACACACACACAACACACACACACACACACACACACACACACACACAAAACTCCCTACCGGGTTCCCAGTTCAATCCTGACCCCCTGATCTGATTCGTGTCCCTTATGGGCCCAGAGCGCTAAGCAAATAACTTCCCCCATTCCCTGGAATTTCTTTGCCCAGCTCTCCTCAGCGTGTGGTCCCTCTGCCCCTTCCCCCTCCTCCCAGCACCAAGCTCTCTCCTTCCCCAAGGCCTCCTCAAATCCCTCTCCCACTCCTGGTTGCCTTCCTAGCTACCCTCTCCCTGTCTAGGGGGGAGTGCACCCTCCTTAGGCAGTGGGGTCTGTGCTGACCGCCTGCTGACTGCCTTGCAGGTGAAATTGCCCTGTGGTCCTTGGTGGTCCTGGCCATCGAGCGGTACGTGGTGGTGTGTAAGCCCATGAGCAACTTCCGCTTCGGGGAGAACCATGCCATCATGGGCGTTGCCTTCACCTGGGTCATGGCGCTGGCCTGCGCCGCACCCCCACTCGCCGGCTGGTCCAGGTAATGGCACTGAGCAGAAGGGAAGAAGCTCCGGGGGCTCTTTGTAGGGTCCTCCAGTCAGGACTCAAACCCAGTAGTGTCTGGTTCCAGGCACTGACCTTGTATGTCTCCTGGCCCAAATGCCCACTCAGGGTAGGGGTGTAGGGCAGAAGAAGAAACAGACTCTAATGTTGCTACAAGGGCTGGTCCCATCTCCTGAGCCCCATGTCAAACAGAATCCAAGACATCCCAACCCTTCACCTTGGCTGTGCCCCTAATCCTCAACTAAGCTAGGCGCAAATTCCAATCCTCTTTGGTCTAGTACCCCGGGGGCAGCCCCCTCTAACCTTGGGCCTCAGCAGCAGGGGAGGCCACACCTTCCTAGTGCAGGTGGCCATATTGTGGCCCCTTGGAACTGGGTCCCACTCAGCCTCTAGGCGATTGTCTCCTAATGGGGCTGAGATGAGACACAGTGGGGACAGTGGTTTGGACAATAGGACTGGTGACTCTGGTCCCCAGAGGCCTCATGTCCCTCTGTCTCCAGAAAATTCCCACTCTCACTTCCCTTTCCTCCTCAGTCTTGCTAGGGTCCATTTCTTACCCCTTGCTGAATTTGAGCCCACCCCCTGGACTTTTTCCCCATCTTCTCCAATCTGGCCTAGTTCTATCCTCTGGAAGCAGAGCCGCTGGACGCTCTGGGTTTCCTGAGGCCCGTCCACTGTCACCAATATCAGGAACCATTGCCACGTCCTAATGACGTGCGCTGGAAGCCTCTAGTTTCCAGAAGCTGCACAAAGATCCCTTAGATACTCTGTGTGTCCATCTTTGGCCTGGAAAATACTCTCACCCTGGGGCTAGGAAGACCTCGGTTTGTACAAACTTCCTCAAATGCAGAGCCTGAGGGCTCTCCCCACCTCCTCACCAACCCTCTGCGTGGCATAGCCCTAGCCTCAGCGGGCAGTGGATGCTGGGGCTGGGCATGCAGGGAGAGGCTGGGTGGTGTCATCTGGTAACGCAGCCACCAAACAATGAAGCGACACTGATTCCACAAGGTGCATCTGCATCCCCATCTGATCCATTCCATCCTGTCACCCAGCCATGCAGACGTTTATGATCCCCTTTTCCAGGGAGGGAATGTGAAGCCCCAGAAAGGGCCAGCGCTCGGCAGCCACCTTGGCTGTTCCCAAGTCCCTCACAGGCAGGGTCTCCCTACCTGCCTGTCCTCAGGTACATCCCCGAGGGCCTGCAGTGCTCGTGTGGAATCGACTACTACACGCTCAAGCCGGAGGTCAACAACGAGTCTTTTGTCATCTACATGTTCGTGGTCCACTTCACCATCCCCATGATTATCATCTTTTTCTGCTATGGGCAGCTCGTCTTCACCGTCAAGGAGGTACGGGCCGGGGGGTGGGCGGCCTCACGGCTCTGAGGGTCCAGCCCCCAGCATGCATCTGCGGCTCCTGCTCCCTGGAGGAGCCATGGTCTGGACCCGGGTCCCGTGTCCTGCAGGCCGCTGCCCAGCAGCAGGAGTCAGCCACCACACAGAAGGCAGAGAAGGAGGTCACCCGCATGGTCATCATCATGGTCATCGCTTTCCTGATCTGCTGGGTGCCCTACGCCAGCGTGGCATTCTACATCTTCACCCACCAGGGCTCCAACTTCGGTCCCATCTTCATGACCATCCCAGCGTTCTTTGCCAAGAGCGCCGCCATCTACAACCCTGTCATCTATATCATGATGAACAAGCAGGTGCCTACTGCGGGTGGGAGGGCCCCAGTGCCCCAGGCCACAGGCGCTGCCTGCCAAGGACAAGCTACTTCCCAGGGCAGGGGAGGGGGCTCCATCAGGGTTACTGGCAGCAGTCTTGGGTCAGCAGTCCCAATGGGGAGTGTGTGAGAAATGCAGATTCCTGGCCCCACTCAGAACTGCTGAATCTCAGGGTGGGCCCAGGAACCTGCATTTCCAGCAAGCCCTCCACAGGTGGCTCAGATGCTCACTCAGGTGGGAGAAGCTCCAGTCAGCTAGTTCTGGAAGCCCAATGTCAAAGTCAGAAGGACCCAAGTCGGGAATGGGATGGGCCAGTCTCCATAAAGCTGAATAAGGAGCTAAAAAGTCTTATTCTGAGGGGTAAAGGGGTAAAGGGTTCCTCGGAGAGGTACCTCCGAGGGGTAAACAGTTGGGTAAACAGTCTCTGAAGTCAGCTCTGCCATTTTCTAGCTGTATGGCCCTGGGCAAGTCAATTTCCTTCTCTGTGCTTTGGTTTCCTCATCCATAGAAAGGTAGAAAGGGCAAAACACCAAACTCTTGGATTACAAGAGATAATTTACAGAACACCCTTGGCACACAGAGGGCACCATGAAATGTCACGGGTGACACAGCCCCCTTGTGCTCAGTCCCTGGCATCTCTAGGGGTGAGGAGCGTCTGCCTAGCAGGTTCCCTCCAGGAAGCTGGATTTGAGTGGATGGGGCGCTGGAATCGTGAGGGGCAGAAGCAGGCAAAGGGTCGGGGCGAACCTCACTAACGTGCCAGTTCCAAGCACACTGTGGGCAGCCCTGGCCCTGACTCAAGCCTCTTGCCTTCCAGTTCCGGAACTGCATGCTCACCACCATCTGCTGCGGCAAGAACCCACTGGGTGACGATGAGGCCTCTGCTACCGTGTCCAAGACGGAGACGAGCCAGGTGGCCCCGGCCTAAGACCTGCCTAGGACTCTGTGGCCGACTATAGGCGTCTCCCATCCCCTACACCTTCCCCCAGCCACAGCCATCCCACCAGGAGCAGCGCCTGTGCAGAATGAACGAAGTCACATAGGCTCCTTAATTTTTTTTTTTTTTTTAAGAAATAATTAATGAGGCTCCTCACTCACCTGGGACAGCCTGAGAAGGGACATCCACCAAGACCTACTGATCTGGAGTCCCACGTTCCCCAAGGCCAGCGGGATGTGTGCCCCTCCTCCTCCCAACTCATCTTTCAGGAACACGAGGATTCTTGCTTTCTGGAAAAGTGTCCCAGCTTAGGGATAAGTGTCTAGCACAGAATGGGGCACACAGTAGGTGCTTAATAAATGCTGGATGGATGCAGGAAGGAATGGAGGAATGAATGGGAAGGGAGAACATATCTATCCTCTCAGACCCTCGCAGCAGCAGCAACTCATACTTGGCTAATGATATGGAGCAGTTGTTTTTCCCTCCCTGGGCCTCACTTTCTTCTCCTATAAAATGGAAATCCCAGATCCCTGGTCCTGCCGACACGCAGCTACTGAGAAGACCAAAAGAGGTGTGTGTGTGTCTATGTGTGTGTTTCAGCACTTTGTAAATAGCAAGAAGCTGTACAGATTCTAGTTAATGTTGTGAATAACATCAATTAATGTAACTAGTTAATTACTATGATTATCACCTCCTGATAGTGAACATTTTGAGATTGGGCATTCAGATGATGGGGTTTCACCCAACCTTGGGGCAGGTTTTTAAAAATTAGCTAGGCATCAAGGCCAGACCAGGGCTGGGGGTTGGGCTGTAGGCAGGGACAGTCACAGGAATGCAGAATGCAGTCATCAGACCTGAAAAAACAACACTGGGGGAGGGGGACGGTGAAGGCCAAGTTCCCAATGAGGGTGAGATTGGGCCTGGGGTCTCACCCCTAGTGTGGGGCCCCAGGTCCCGTGCCTCCCCTTCCCAATGTGGCCTATGGAGAGACAGGCCTTTCTCTCAGCCTCTGGAAGCCACCTGCTCTTTTGCTCTAGCACCTGGGTCCCAGCATCTAGAGCATGGAGCCTCTAGAAGCCATGCTCACCCGCCCACATTTAATTAACAGCTGAGTCCCTGATGTCATCCTTATCTCGAAGAGCTTAGAAACAAAGAGTGGGAAATTCCACTGGGCCTACCTTCCTTGGGGATGTTCATGGGCCCCAGTTTCCAGTTTCCCTTGCCAGACAAGCCCATCTTCAGCAGTTGCTAGTCCATTCTCCATTCTGGAGAATCTGCTCCAAAAAGCTGGCCACATCTCTGAGGTGTCAGAATTAAGCTGCCTCAGTAACTGCTCCCCCTTCTCCATATAAGCAAAGCCAGAAGCTCTAGCTTTACCCAGCTCTGCCTGGAGACTAAGGCAAATTGGGCCATTAAAAGCTCAGCTCCTATGTTGGTATTAACGGTGGTGGGTTTTGTTGCTTTCACACTCTATCCACAGGATAGATTGAAACTGCCAGCTTCCACCTGATCCCTGACCCTGGGATGGCTGGATTGAGCAATGAGCAGAGCCAAGCAGCACAGAGTCCCCTGGGGCTAGAGGTGGAGGAGGCAGTCCTGGGAATGGGAAAAACCCCAACTTTGGGGTCATAGAGGCACAGGTAACCCATAAAACTGCAAACAAGCTTTGTCACCTCTCAGAGCTTCCTTATCTGCAAAAAAGAATCTTAAAACTGACCTTGGCTGGGCACAGTGGCTCACACCTCTAATCCCAGCACTTTGGGAGGCCAAGGTGGGCAGATCACGAGGTCAGGAGTTTGAGACCAGCCTGACCAACACGGTGAAACCCTGTCTCTACTAAAAATACAAAAATCAGCTGGGCATGGTGGCGCGTGCCTGTAATCCCAGCTATTCAGTGGGCTGAGGCAGGAGAATCGCTTGAACCTGGGAGGTGGAGGTTGCAGTGAGCCGAGATTGCGCCACTGCACTCCAGCCTGAGCAACAGAGGGACAGTCTGTCTCCAAACAAAACAAAACAAACAAACAAACAAACAAACAAACAAAAAACAACAACAAAAAAACCACTTGATCCTAAGGGGATTAGATGCGACTGTGGACTTTAAGTGGCCAGCCTACTGCCTGGCATGCAGCAGATGAGACTATGGCAATACTGGGCTTCAGCTCAGAGCTGGCCTTACTAGAGACCCTGTCCCAAAGGGGAAAAGGATGGAGCTAAAGCTCCCGAGAGTCACCCCCTCCTCCGAGGTGAGAAAGGAGGGCAGGAGCATGAGATAGCCGATCCTCGGTGCCTTGGTGAGGCTGGGGCAAATCATGCTGGGATCTCTATCATTGTCCCTCTTTACTGTGACTCACTAGATAATATCAGTCAGGATACTTTTGGTCACAAGTGATAGGAAATCCAACTCATTTGGGCTGAAGCAAAAGGGACACATTGTTGGCTCACATGAACAAAAAGCCCGGGGCTTCAGGCACAGGGTATCACCATGACTGAGATGGGGATTAATTCTGTGATTGGCCAAGTCTAGGTCACCTGATCATACGTAACTCATTTATGCCTGAGGTTGCAATTTTTTGGATTTTTGCAATCAGACCTTGGCGATGACCTTGAGCAGTAGGATATAAATAACTCCCACATGCTTAGCGTTCCAATAATGGAATACTAGGCATACGCAGGTCTAACTGCATCACCATGGCTGGAATGGGGATTCATCCTCTGATTGGTCAGACCTAGGTCACATGCTCACCCTGCAGCCCAAGCAGGCTGAATGGGGAGAGGTAGGTTTCACAAAGGAAAGCCCAGGTGCTGTTACCTGAAGTAGGAGGGCAGGAGGCAGGGTGAGCAGAGCCAACATCAACCCAGAGGGAATGGAATCTAAGTTGGTGTTTTCTGGGCACGTGGCTGGACCAGGCCTCCCTCCCTCATCATCTCAGGGACATGAGGGAGAAGATTCCTATGGGTGGTCCCGAAGGTCTCACCCTTTGTTTTGGATGCTGTGTTGGGCCAGGGTGGCAGTGGGTGGGACAGTGGCATCTTAGCTGCCCTGACTTGCAGGCAGCCCATTCCAGCTCCCCGCCCCAACCCCAACCCAGCCCACTTTTTCTGAGAAATGGTACATTTGCCCCAGCCTCATGTCCAGAGGAAAATTTTACTCTAACACCAGAACATTCTCTGGTTTGTCCTGATAGACAAGAAAGCCTCCACCTCCTTAATTTACAAATGACTTGACAGCTGCTTCGTGGGCACTTGCATACATAAAGAGAAGGAGCTGCTGCCTTAAGTTGCAGCAAGTTTGGCCCCACCTCATCTCCAGGCAGCCAGCAGATGTACAGAGTGCCTCTTGGGTACAATGGCAGCTCCATTCAACCAAACCTGAGCAAGCTGACCCCATGCCAGAATGCACTGGGGACTCGGAGATGAATTGGAGCCTAGAGACCAAGTCTCTAGGCTATGACCTGGGCTGCCTCACGGCCACAGAGCTCTGTCACGCCAAGGGAGAGATGCACCCCTGAAAGCCTGAGGTGCCCCATAAGGAGAGAGTGGGTGCCCTTCCCAACTATGTAGCTTCAGGGCAAGTTCTCTTTCTTTCTTTTTCTTTCTTTCTCTTTCTTTCTTTCTTTCTTTCTTTCTTTCTTTCTTTCTTTCTTTCTTTCTTTCTTTCTTTCTTTCTTTCTTTCTTTCTTTCTTTGCTCCTTCCTTCCTTCCTTGCTTCTTTCTTTCTTTCTTCTTTTTCTTTTCTTTTTTTTTTTTGAGATGGGGTCTCACTTTGTCACCCAGACTGGAGTACAGTGGTGCCCTCATAGCTCACTGTAGCCTCGACTTCTCAGTTTCAAGCAATCCTTCTGTCTCAGCCTCTCAAGTAGCCAGGACCACAGGCACACCCCACCACACCCAACTTATTTTTTATTTTTTGTGGAGATGGAGTCTCCCTATGTTGCCCAGGCTGGTTTTGAACTTCCAGCCTCAAACGATCCTCCTGCCTTGGCCTCTCAAAGTGCTGCGACTACAGGCATGAGCCACAGCACTTGGTTTGGGCAAGTCCTTGAATTACTCCAAGACTCAGGCCCCTCAGCTATAAAGGAGAGAATTATCCCACTTGGTAGAATTGTCTATAGGGACTAATAAGATTAATGGTGTAAAGGGTGCTGTGCACAGTAGACATTCAATAAATGTGAATTCCCTTCCCAGAGACATGAACTAAGTTCAGAGGAGGCAGCCGCTTGTGTGGTGGGAAATTGACTTGTAAGGAGATTAACACAGAGAGGGGGGTCTTGCAAAAGTGGGGAAGCAAGTGCTAACTGCCCCCAGTATTCATTCCCTTTCCTTCTATTAACAATATCATCCTAGGTTCTAGCTGGGCACCTGGTTGCTCAACACAAGACAGCATCTTTCGGCTTCTTTTGCACCTGTGGTGGCAGGATATTAAGGTCCAGTCATTGTAGGGTACTCAGAAATGATGTGTGCAGTCTCTAGGTTGTGCATTTTGGAGAATGGAAGTGCCCTCCTTTTCCTCTCATCTTTTCTTCCTGCTGGCTGGAAAGCAGTCATGATGACTGGAGCTTCCGCACCCATATTAGATCATGAGATAGAATCTGAGGACAGAGAATGGCAAAGTGTTCTCTGGTGTGTCTCACCATGGTTCCCCCATGCTGCCTTAACAGCCCTGGCCAACTTATGCTTAAAGAGTTTCAAGAGGGAAGAGTTTCATGGTTTCTTGTTTAAGTCACTTGTGATTTTGGAGTTATAGCCAATTTCTTTTCCTTCCTTCCTTTCCCTCCCTCCCTCCCTCCCTCCCTCCCTCCCTTCCTTCCTTCCTTCCTTCCTTCCTTTCCTTCTTTCTTTTCTGAGACAGAGTCTTGCTCTATTGCCCAGGCTGGAGTGCAGTGGCATAATCTTGGCTCACTACAACCTCTACCTCCTGGGTTCAAGCAATTCTCCTGCCTCAGCCTCCCGAGTAGCTGGGATTACAGGCACGCACCACCTTGCCTGGCTAATTTTTTGTATTTTTAGTAGAGACGGGGTTTTGCCATGTTGCCCAGGCTGATCTTGAACTCCTGAGCTCAAGTAATCCGCCTGCCTCAGCCTCCCAAAGTGCTGAGATTACAGGCATGAGCCACCACGCCTGGCCTATAGCCAATTTCTTTACTAAAACAAAGGGCTTCCAGGCTGCAGCCCAGGAACTCAGGAAGATCGAAGTGCAGGTCCTCTCTGAACTTCAGCTTCTCCATGTATAAATAAAATAGTGAATATAAAATATTTACATGGATGTCGAATGTGGCAGCCATTACTATTTCTACCCCGCCCTTTATATATTTATTGACTAAAAGTCAGGAAAGAAAAGTCACAAATGTCCTGATGTTACAGGGGCTGGAGTTACACAAAGCAGACACCCTAAAACTGCTTCCAAAAGTTCAGAACTGTGATCTTCAGAACTGTAGGGCAGTTCACATGTAGGCTGACCCCATTCAGTGTTTCATAACTAGTTCTCAGCAGAAGTTACATTTCATACAGGCCTCAGTAAAAAATCACAGAAGCTCACCAAGCGGCCCGTTGTCCCTGCAGTCTGATGCTCAGAATTACCATTTCCCTGTAAAAAGGCAATCCTCTAGAGGAATTTTTAGATCATGCAGCACATTTTAGAGCTTCTTCCCTTCAAATGCGAAACTTGATCCTGGCACAGCCGGGAGCATGGTTTCGGAAGAAGCTCGTGGGAATGTTTCTATCACTGAGTGTTGCTCTACTTCTCAGTTCTTGGAAGTGTCCCATAAATGTGATCAAAATTGCTGCCCCCACTTGTGCCAACTTCCATTTGCCTCTTTGCTTCGTCTTCTGCTCCAGCATAGTCCCGGAAGAGGGTTTTCAGGCCTCCAGCACTGGGACCTCCAGGTATCACAGTAATGGGTACTGAGCACCGACCGTGTGCCAGGTGCTGTGCTGGGCACCAGGGATACCACCAGGAACAAGACAGATACAGCCCTGCTCCTCAACCAGAGCGCAAAGGCTGGAGACACGGAAGCAGAGCTGCGATTCAGAGCGCTTGAGGCTCTCCAGGAGCAAGGCTGGGGCCTGGCAGAGCCCAGAGGAGGGGCCCCTAACCTTCTAGAGGCCAGGGAAGGCTTTTCTGAAGATGCGGCATCTACTCTGAGGCCAAAAGATGAGTGGGAAAGAGTCCAGAGAAGGGGGGGCAGTGCATACAGAGGGGCTTTCTAAGGCCAAGTGTATCAATTGACTTGTACGGCAAGACAGACAACCCCAACACTTCATGGCTTAAAACAACAAGCTGCATATCATTCATGACTCTGGATCAGCCAGGCAGATCTGCTGATCTGAACCAAGCTTGGTCAATTTCGGCTGGGTTCATTCAAGCATCTGTGGTCAACTGGAGGGTTGGCTGGGGACTGGCTGGTTGACCCTCAGATGGCTGGGTAACAGGGGTGATGGCCATAGGCCTCAGCATCTGGCAGGCTAGCTAGGAGCTAGTTAACATGGCAATGGGACTGGCATACCATCATTTCTGCTATTGGTCAAAGCAAGTCATAAGATTTAAGGAATCCACTCAGACTTAAGAAATGTGGGAGGGGCCAGGTGCAGTGGCTCATGCCTGTAATCCCTACACTTTGGGAGGCCAGGTGGGAGGTCACTTGAGGCCAGGAGTTCAAGACCAGCCTGGGCAACATGGCAAGACTCCATTTCTAATATATATACATACATATATATACACATATATATATGTATGTGTGTGTGTATATATATATATATATATATATATATATATATATATATATATATATATATATATTTTTTTTTTAATTAGCCAGGCATAGTGGCATGTGCCTGAGTCCTAGCCACTTGGAAGACTGAAGTAGGAGATCACTTGAGCCCAGAAGGTCGAGGCTGCAGTGAGCTATGATTGCACCACTGCACTCCAGCCTGGGCGACAGAGTGGAACCCTGTCTCAAAAAACAAACAAACAAACAAGAAATGTGAGAGGGGTTGCAAAGTTACATTGCAAATGGGCAGGAGTGAAAAATTGGGGGCAGTTCTGCATCAATTCAACACACACAGAGGAGACAAAAGGGGCCCGATATCAGCACATGGCCCATTCCAGGAGCCGCAGTGTGGGTGAATTGTGGGATTCAAGCGGGGAGGAGGCTCCTTAAGTCAGACTGAAGAGCATGAACTTTCACCCACGGGCAGTGGGGAGCCATGCAGGATGCTAAGCGGGGGAGTGAAATCTGACTTCACTTTAGAACACTTTGATGACCACAGCCTCCCCGAGTCCAGATCTCTGGTGATGGAGAGCCCTCTGGGAAAATTCCACAATAAAGAGACTACCTAGAGAAGAATGTATGCTGTTTAAAACCCATCCCTTCCTCAGAGGTAACCACTTCTACTATTACCTTGGTATGAATCCATTCAGAACTTTTTTCTACTGCTTGTGACTGGTAAGATAAAAAAACAAAAAAATTTTTTAAAAATTAAAAAGAACTATTGTGCCTTCACACACACACACACACACACACACACACACGCAAGTTTTGTCTTCTCAGTAGTTGGGGTGTACTCTCCGATACATTCTGGTTCACTCCTTTTCACTACTGCATACTACTCCACTGTGCGAATAGGCCACAGTTTACTTGTTCACTCTCCACCTGATGGGCATTTATGTTGTTTTGAATTTCTGCTAAGATTGAAATAAACATCTTTGCACGTAAGTGTATATGTTTGTCTCAGATCTACGCCTAGAGTGGAATAGGTGGGTTGTGGAGTGAGTCCCTCCTTAGTTGTATGAAACATCGCTGAATTGCTTTCTAAGGCGGCTACCAGCTCACTCCCCACCCCCCAGCAGCTATACTTTCCTTGAATCCTAGTCACTCACTATTGATAGACACTTACATCTTTGTCATTTTGCTGAGTGTGAAATACAGCCTCATTCTTGTTTGTTTTCTTTTCTTTCCCTCCCCCTTTTTTTTGGGGGGGGCAGGGTCTTACTCTGTAGCCCAGGCTGGAGTGCAGGGGTGTGATCACAGCTCCCTGCAGCCTTGACCTCCCAGGCTCAAGCAATCCTCCTGCCTCGGCCTCCCAGGTAGCTGGGACTACAGGTGCACACCACCATGCCCAGCTAATTTTTGTATTTTTTGGTAGAGACAGGATTTCACTTTTTTGCCTAGGCTGGTCTTGAACTCCTGGGCTCAAGCGATCCTCCTGCCTCAGCCTCCCGAAGTTCTGGGATTACAGGTATGAGCCACCATGCCTGGCCTCTCATCCTTGTTTTAATCCATCTTGTCATTTTATATTATATTATATTATTTTATTTTATTTTTATTTACTTATTTTTGAGACACAGTTTCGCTCTTGTTGCCCAGGCTGGAGTGCAATGGCTCGATCCTGGTTCACTGCAGTCTCCAGCTCCCAGGTTCAAGTGATTCTCCTGCCTCAGCCTCCCAAGTAGCTGGGACTACAGGTGCACACCACCACGCCCAGCTAATTTTGTATTTTTAGTAGAGATGAAGTTTTACCATGTTGGCCAGGCTGGTCTCAAACTCCTGACCTCAGGTGATCCGCCCACCTCAGCCTCCCAAAGTGCTAGGATTACAGGCCTGAGCCACCGCACCAGCCCACCTTGTCATTTTAGATGGCTGCAGAATATTCTGCAGAAAGGGTGTGATTTAGCCAGGCCTTGGGTGTTTGCTTGGAAAGTTTTTTTTTTTTGTCTGTCAATTTGATGGGAAAAAGTAGTATTTCACCATTGTTTCAATTTGAATTTTCTCAAATGCCAAGGAAGTTGAGTGTCCATTTTCCTGTTTCTGTTCCTCACCCTTTAGGCTGGTGAATTGCCTGTTTATATTCTTTGTCCATTGTCCCAGTGGATGTTGTCCTTATCTATGAAGACTTTTGTGAAGCATCCTCCGTTATTGATTTATTTCTTTAAAAACAAAACCAAAGGAGGGCATAGGCCCAGAGAGCCTGGCTGGCCTCAGAAGGGGCTACTCTGATTGAGGGGCATGTGCTCTGGGCAAAAGTAGCAGTTGGGCTGCCTCCAACTGCTACTTTTTGAGAAATTGAGGCCAGCAGTGGCGTGGGGCAGCCCATTGCCCACCTGGTAGGATTAGAGGGCCGCCTCAGCGGCCTCCCTGACAACACAGGTGACCCCAATTCCTCATCAGCATCTCCAGCCCCTGGTGGGCAGAGGGCACAGGCGAGATCAAGCATCTCAGCTCCCAACATTGCACCATGGGGACTGAGACCCAGAGAAGTCAAGCGACACCCCCAAGCTTACACAGGAGTGGGTAGTCCAGCTGGGGCTCCCTACAGAAGGCAGGATGCTGTGCCCCATTCCACACCTCCAGCCCCAGTCAGCAGCTTGGAGCACTCCCAGCCCAATCAGGGCTGATTGGAGTGGTGGGGGTGGGCTGCTGGTATATAAGCCTAGTGGGCAGGCCCAGCAGCCTCACACCCGGGTGAGGGGTCTGCTGGCTGCACCTGTCGGTCTCATGGCTCCTGGGAGCGTCACCAGCGACATCTCACCCTCCTCGACTTCCACAGCAGGATCATCCAGGTCTCCTGAATCTGAAAAGCCAGGTGAGCAAGAGGAGGCAGCTCCTCCCTCATCCCTGCGAGCCCACTCCCTGGGTTGCCTTTGATGCTCCACCCCTGCTTCTCGTTCTTTCCCAGCCTGGCCCCAGCACCTACCCAGCACCCACCCAGCACTCACCCAGCACTCACCCAGCACCCACCCAGCACCAAGCTGCTGAGCTCAACTGCCTTTTGGCTGAAGAGCTGATCTACAGGTAGCAAGGCCAGGTAGGGCCTGGGGGCTGGGGCCGGCCTCGCTCAGGGAAGAGCCACAGGGCCTTCCAGCTGGAGCCCGTTTCCTGCTGGGACCGTAGCCCGTAGCCAGGCTGCAGCTGTGGGCAGCTAGTTGGAGGGACTGGGGCAGGAGCATTTTATGCAGGGCTAGGCATTCCGATTTTCAACCAAAAAACACCTCAGGGTTTATCTGGACATGAGGGTGCACCGAGGCAAACCAGGCCCAGTTCACTCCCTCGAGGACCTCCCGGTCTGATGGGGAAGCCTGGCCCATGGCTTGTTGCTGTTTGCTAATGTGATGTGTGCTTCAGTGGCGGTAATCCAGAGCTGGAGGAGCCCAGAGGAGTCCTCTAACCCACTCTGGGAGGTCAGGGAAAGCTTCCTAGAAGAGGTGACCCTGAAGGATGGGTGTGCCTCAGCCGGGGGAAGTGTTCTATTTGCCAAGACACCTAGGGAGATAGGGAGGGGGTCCAGGTGCCGAGAAGTAAAAGGGCAGAGTTAACTGGGAAGTCAGAGGTGTCCAAACCAAGGTGCATTTTGAGCCTTGAAGGATGAGTGAGAGCAGCCTGCATGACCGGGAGGAGAGAGGCAGCCCAGGCAGAGGAAACGGCATGGGCTAAGGCCCAGAGGCCAGCGCACCAGCAGCTTGTCTCGGAAGCTGCATCTTCCTTCTGGGAAGGAGGGAAGTGCTGGGGCAGTGCTAGGGGAGCAGTGGGAGGGCCTCCAAGGCGGTCTTCAGTTAGGTCAACTTTTATCTTGAACAGGGAGCCATGGACGGTTTCAAGCAGGGAGGTGAGGGGTGTGAGATACAGCGAGGAGAATGCATGCGGTGGGGAAGAGGCAGTGGGGAGGAGGCTGGGGCTGGGGAGTTGGAGAGGAGAGGCCAGAATATGGAGAGAAAAGCCTATGGGGAGGCCTCGAGTGGGTGTGGTGAGGAGGAAAGGGCCCAGAATGCCCCCAGTTCTTGCTTGGATGTTGGGTAGGTATGGGCAGTGGGGGCATGGGGCATTCCTGGAAGAGAGAGGAGGGGCAGATTTGGGGGGCTGAGCTCTGTTCTGGACATCCTGGTATACAGCAGGCATGGAATAGCTGCCGAATGAGGGGCTGGGATGAGAGGGAACAGACCTGAGGGAGGACTCCTGGGGGTGGCTCTCTGGGACAGACATGGTCTGGGGGAAGCAGAGGAGGGGTTGGAGCTGCTCGTGAAGTCAGGCCAAGCGAAGACCCTTGGGAAGCCCTGTAGCACTGCAGCTGGGAGGGCTCAGACCTCCTTAGAGGCCCCCGTCCCCACTGTACGGATGGGAAGACTGAGGCCTAGAGGGAAGAATGAAACTCCCGAGAACCCGGGAGTGACCCAGGACTACACCAGCTCAACGCCTTTGGCCCCCAAATGAATATTCCCACACTGGGCTCGTCATGGCCAGGACCCAACAGGGGTCGAAGTGATTAGGTCTCTTTATAATTTTGCTCTAGATCTAGAGTTTCATGGTTTTTTTTTTCTATTGAAAAAAAATTTTAATATAGCCAATTTTTTTTTTTTTTTTGAGACAGGGTCTTGCTTTGTCACCCAGGCTGGAGTGCAGTGGTGTGATCTCAGCTCACTGCAGTCTCCACTTCCCAGGCTCAAGCAATCTTCCCACCTCAGCCTCCCAAGTAGCTAGGCCTATAGGCACACACCACCACACTCTGCTCATTTTTAAAGATTTTCGTAGAGTCGAGGTCTCACGATATTGCCCAGAATTTAAGTCTTTAAATTCTGCAGATTGATCAGAAATCAACATTTCCATTCACCACATTTAAATCCGGTTTCATATTTAAATCCCTTTTATGCATTTCATGGTGACTGACAACTTCTCATGCTTCCCCCACCCTTGATCCCACTTCATTTGCAACTATTTTATAACACCTTATTGAGAAATAATTCCCATACAATACAATTCACCCTTTAAAGTGTACAATGGCTTTTGGTATACTCAGAGTTGTGTATCCATCTCTATAATCAATTTTAGAATATTTTCATCACTTCAAGAAAACCAGTACCCATTAGCAGTCACTCTCCACCCCCACTCCCCAGCCCTGGCAACCACCAATCTGCTTTCTGCATCTATGGACTTCTTATTCTGGACATTTCATATAAATGGAATCAGACAGTATGTGGCTTTTTCTGACTGCCTTTTTTCACTTTGCATGTTTCAGGGCTCCTCCATGTCGTAGCCAGGGCTTCACTCCTTTGTATGGCTGGATAATATTCCACGGGATGGGTAGCGACCACATTTTGTTCATCCATCTGTCAATCATTCATCATGGATGTTTGGGCTGGTTCCATCTTTGGGCCGACATGAATAGTGCTGCTATGAACATTCATGTGTACATTTTTGTGTGGACATGCGTTTTCATTTCCCTCAGGTATATACCGAAGAGTGGAATTTTTTGGTAACTTTTTATTATGAAAACTTTCAGGGCCGAGCATGGTGGCTCATGCTTGTAATCCTAGCACTTTGGGAGACTGAGGTGGGAAGATAGCTTGAACTCAGGAGTTTGAGACTAAACTGAGCAATGTAGTGAGACCTGTGTCAAATAACAATAACAATAATAATAATAATAATAATAATAATAATAATAATGATAATAATACAAACATTAGCCAGGCGTGGTGGTGTGTGCCTGTGGTCCCAGCTACTTCGGAGACTGAGGCAAGAGGATCACTTGAGCTGGAGAGGTCAAGGCTGCAGTGAGCCATGATTGTGGCACTGCACTCCAGCTTGGGTGACAGATTGAGACCCTGTCTCCATAAAACAAAACAAAAAACTTTCAAATGGATACAAAAGTAGACTACCAAATGGTCTGTAACTCCCTTCCACTGTACCCGTCACCCAGCTCCAACAGTCACCATCTTGTGGACACTCTTGTTTCATCTGCTGGGTTATTTCAAAGCAAATGCTGGATTTATGTATCATTTCATCTGTAAATATCTTTTATAATATTTACCTTTAACAGATAAGAGCCTTTTAAAAAGCAATTGTAATACCATTAGCACACTTGAAACAATATTATCCCTAATATCCGATATTTCCTTCCAGTGCTCACATTTATCTGTTGCCTTTCTTTTTCCAGTTGGATTGTTCAAATCCTGCTCTGGGAATGAGCATTTGGTTGAGAGGTTTCCTAAGGACCTTTAGTCCATAGGGTGCCCCTCCCACTTTTTCTTTCCCCCCTTATTTGTGGAAGAAACCCGGCTGTGTGCCCTGGAGAGTCTCTCAGTCTGGGTGCCTCTGAGAATGTGCACATAGCCCCCGGAGGTCCTGTAAACCCACAGTTACGAAATTCACCCAATTTAGATTGTTTTTCTAAAGGAATACTCCATTCTTTAAAAAGAGAGATTTGGCTGGGCACGGTGGCTCAAGCCTGTAATCCCAGCACTTTGGGAGGCCGAGGCGGGTGGGTCATGAGGTCAGGAGTTCAAGACCAGCCTGGCCAACATGGTGAAACCTTGTCTCTACTAAAAATACAAAAATCAGCCAGGTATGGTGGCAGCGCCTGTAATCCCAGCTACTTGGGAGGCTGAGGCAGGAGAACTGCTTGAACCCAGGAGGTGGAGGTTGCAGTGAGCTGAGATCACGCCATTGCACTCCAGCCTGGGGACATAGAGAGACAGTGTCTCAAAGAAAAAAAGAGAGAGAGACTCAGTGAGCCTTGAGGGGAGACCATCCGGGAGCTCCCATGCCAGCGGTCAGTGTCTTGGGGAGAGGGGGGCATCTGATCCTTGCTGGACCCTCACCCACCCCCCACGGGCCAGCTGATGCCTGCCACTGAGTTGTGACTGGGCCCCGGGTGATGGCCTGCCATCTCTCCTCAGGCCCGAGCCACGGCGGTGTCCCACCAGGAGGCCCGAGCCACAGCAGCCTCCCGGTGGGACGCCGCCACCCCCCGGTGCTACGCATGGTGCTGGAGGCGCTGCAGGCTGGGGAGCAGCGCCGGGGCACGTCGGTGGCAGCTATCAAGCTCTACATCCTGCACAAGTACCCAACAGTGGACGTCCTCCGCTTCAAGTACCTGCTGAAGCAGGCGCTGGCCACTGGCATGCGCCGTGGCCTCCTCGCCAGGCCCCTCAACTCCAAAGCCAGGGGGGCCACTGGCAGCTTCAAAGTAAGCGCCCCTGAGGGAGGACATAGCCCAGGGTTGGAGCAATGGTCCTGGCCTCTGTGAGTGCTGCGGCCTCTACTGGAAGGCCTTTCCCCTCCGGTCCCCTGTCCTTGTTCCTCCTGTGGTCTCAGCCGAGATGCCCTCTCCTCTAGGAAGGCAGGTAGTGTGCCCTCTCTGAGCTCCCACTGCAAGAGTCACCCTGTTGGTGTCCAGGACAGGTGAACTGTTGCATGTTTGGGATCCCAGGGCCTGTGTCAGCTGTGCTAACTTCTGGGTCCTGGGCACGTAGCCCCTTCCTGGAATTCCTCACCACAGCAAAGGGTTTTCCCTCTGCTGGCACCTCCCTGAGCAGCCATGTCCTCCGTTTCAAAGGGGAGAGTTTCATCTTTATAAGGAGGCTCCAAAAGGGGACCCATGCCAGGTCACTCAGAGCTGAGGCAGGTCTGGGACAAAACTGCACCCCAACATCAGGACTGTCATCAGCCACCAGGAATACCTCAGGGACCAGACCCACGGCCTGACTTGTCATTGCTGGGTCCCCTGCATCTTGCCTAACTTCCTGCATGTAGCAGCTGCCATGACAGTTGCCATGGAATGCTGGGGAACATTCTCAGCCTACCCCAAGCCGGTCCCTGTGGTTACCTGGTGACAGATCACAGAAAGTCCCACCCTGGTAGAACTCCTGGGCGTGGGTCAGAGCCTGGACTTGCGTCACAGCAGGACCAGGCGGCTAAGCAGGGAGAAGAGCCAGAGGGGCGTCAGGTGTCTGATGCGGTGTGCTGGCAGTTGAGGGGTGAAGGTAGTTTCTAGTCTTGGTGATGGGGAGCCCTGAGGGTTGGGGGACAGGAAAGAAACAGCTTGCCAGGAGCCCTCCCTTCCCTGCCGCTCACAGCCTTGGTGATTGTCCTGCTGTAAAGATGAGAAGACGTGGCTGTGGTACACGGCTGGAGGAGGGCGGAGGAAGCTGTGAGCCCAGAGCCATCTGACCTCAGCCCATGTTCTGCTGAGCGTCAAGGGGCGAGGTGGTGGGGGCATGGGGCATGAGGCAGGGCAGCGCTTCAGGGTAGTGGGGGAGGAGGAGTCCAGAGGCACAATCTGTGGGAAAGTGGCAGGCCTAGGGCAGGTGGTTGAGAGATCCTGAGATCCTAGAATCATAGTAGACAGTGCCTCCAAGGACAGTGGCTTCGTGCCTTCTCCCTGCCTCTCACTGCCTGTGGAGCCCCCCTGTTTGGAACGAGGCCTCCCATTCGGAGTCTTACGGGGGGTGGGGGGCGTGAGGCACCTGAGGCTCTGCTTTCAGCCCCACCCCGTGTCCTTCTCCAGTTAGTTCCCAAGCACAAGAAGAAAATCCAGCCCAGGAAGATGGCCCCCGCGACGGCTCCCAGGAGAGCGGGTGAGGCCAAGGGGAAGGGCCCCAAGAAACCAAGTGAGGCCAAGGAGGACCCTCCCAACGTGGGCAAGGTGAAAAAGGCAGCCAAGAGGCCAGCAAAGGTGCAGAAGCCTCCTCCCAAGCCAGGCGCAGCCACAGAGAAGGCTCGCAAGCAAGGCGGCGCGGCCAAGGACACCAGGGCACAGTCGGGAGAGGCTAGGAAGGTGCCCCCCAAGCCAGACAAGGCCATGCGGGCACCTTCCAGTGCTGGTGGGCTCAGCAGGAAGGCAAAGGCCAAAGGCAGCAGGAGCAGCCAAGGTAGTTGTGTGACTTGTAGGGGGTGGTGTGGGGATGGGGGTCTTGACAGCCACTGGAGCGGGGGCGGGGAGCCAGCTCTGGAGAGGGGTTTCCTTATCTAGTGCATGTGTCCTGAGTGCTGGGCTTGACCTGGAGAGAGAGAACTCATGGTAGCTGGTTGGGGGAAGGAGGCAGACATTTCAAGGGTTATGAAGGGGGAAGCAGAGACCAGGAGACTGACTCATTCTTGAGGCAGTGGAGGAAGGTGTCTCAAGCAGGGGAAGGGCCTGTGTAAAGGCCTGGAGGCATAAAGAAGGTGGAGTTTTTAGGCCGGGCATGGTGGCTCATGCCTGTAAGCCTAACACTTTGGGAGGCCAAGGCGGGCGGATCCCTTGAGGTCAGGAGTTTGAGACCAACCTGGTCAACATGGTGAACCCCCGTCTCTGCTAAAAATACAAAAATTAGCTGGGCATGGTGGTGTACACCTATAATCCCAGGTACTTGGGTGGCTGAGGCAGGAAAATCACTTGAACCCAGGAGGCAGATGTTACAGTGAGCCGAGATCGCACCACTGTACTCCAGCGTGGGTGACAGAGTGACACTCAGTCTCAAAACAAAACACAAAAAGAAGGTGGAGTATTTGAGGAACTGCATGTAATTCAGTCTACCTACAGTTTTGGCAAGGAGAAGCTGTGAAGGGCAGCTGGAATCAGGGCTTTATCTGGAGGACAATGCAGAGCTGTGGAAGGATTCTGACAGGAAGCAGCTAGGGCTAGAGTTATTATTTTTTTTCCTCTCTCTCTTTTAGAGACAGGCTCTTGCTCTGTCACACAGGTGAGTGCTGAGCCCAGGAATTAGAGACCAATCTGGGCAAGATACTAGGATCCCATCTCTGCAAAAAATAAAAATATTAGCTGGCATGGTGTTGCATACCTGTTGCCCCAGCTACTTGGGAGGCTGAGGCAGGAGGATCGCTTGAGCCTGGGAGGTCAAGGCTGCAGTAAACTGAGATCGCCCCACCACACTCCAGCACAGTGACAGAGCGAGACCCTGTCTTAAAAGTAAAAAAAAGTATCCTGGCTGCCAGGTGGAAGACAAACTAAAGGCTCGAGCTGACAGGCCCGTTAGACGTTGGCTTTGGTGGGCTTGGAGCACTAGTGCTTTGCCTAGAGCAAGTGCTTCCGTTAACCCTCCAGCCACTCTGTGAGGGGCATGCTATTATTCCCAGTCTTCAAACTAGGTCACTGAGGCTCAGAGTGGCTAAATGATTTGCCCCATGTCACATAACTGAGTGAAGACCTAGGACCCAGGAGGAATGGGGGTTCTAGAGCCCCTGAAACTTCCTGCCCCACCAGCAGTTCCTCCTTCTTCCCCTATAAAACCTCCTCCATCAAATTCCAGGAGATGCTGAGGCCTACAGGAAAACCAAAGCTGAGAGTAAGAGTTCAAAACCCACGGCCAGCAAGGTAGGTGCCTGCATGAATTTCCTGGCCTGGCTGCCTGCCCTGAACAGGCCAGAGCTTGGGCATCCCACACTCAGCCCCCGGAAGGGTCATCCAGGGATGGGGCTCAATTTCTTTTCCTACAAAGCACAGTCCACCACCTTCTCTCTGGTCCCCTGGCACCCTGGGGGTGTTGCCATCCCCATCTTACAGATAAGAGACTAAGGCTTAGAAGGGCGATGTTGTGTACCCAGAGCCACCCAGAGCTGGGATTTCAGCCCTTCCCAGCTGTCTCTTTGCTCCTGGTTTGCTTTCGTATAGGTCAAGAATGGTGCTGCTTCCCCGACCAAAAAGAAGGTGGTGGCCAAGGCCAAGGCCCCTAAAGCTGGGCAGGGGCCAAACACCAAGGCTGCTGCTCCTGCTAAGGGCAGTGGGTCCAAGGTGGTACCTGCACATTTGTCCAGGAAGACAGAGGCCCCCAAGGGCCCTAGAAAGGCTGGGCTGCCCATCAAGGCCTCATCATCCAAAGTGTCCAGCCAGAGGGCTGAAGCTTAGGGCCAGAGGCAGGGGCGGAGAGAGACCGAGCCTCTGCCCTAGTTTTTATTCTTCAACTAACCACTGCTCTATTTATTTCATTGTAAGCTATTTATCAATAAAGACTTTTGTTTCTTTTTCCTCACAATTGGTGTGGGTAGAGGCTGAGGTTCAAGGATTTGGCCATTCGGTCCTT
Organism: Homo sapiens; assembly: GCF_000001405.40. Lineage (NCBI taxonomy): Eukaryota > Metazoa > Chordata > Mammalia > Primates > Hominidae > Homo > Homo sapiens. Next base: position 129,551,516 of record NC_000003.12, read on the forward strand.
CATGAACATCCGCTGAGCACCTGCTGTTTACCTGGCCAATGCTGGGGCTCAGATAGGAGGTCCTGCCTCAGGGATACAGACTGTGTGCTATATGGGGCTGCAGCACAGATATCGGGATGCAAAGGGGCTGATGGAGGGAGATTAACCTGGCCCTGCGATCAGGCTTCCAGGATGAGATGGCTTTTGATCCTAAAGGATGGGTAGCTGTTGTCAGGCAGATGAGGCAGAGGATGCCATCTGAGGGGTGGGATGAAAGGAGGGGATCTGTTTAGAAAGAACCCTCTGGCAGTGGAAAGGAAGGATTAGAGTAGCTGAGAAGACAGGGAGACCTTTCAGCCACTGGTTCCCGAGTGCTCCTGGGCCAGGCACTGCGACAGGCTGACAGGTGTCCTACTCTGCAGCCAGCGCCTGTGCTCTGAAGAAGAGGTGGGGCTGGGCCTCCAGCGGGGTGGGTAGGGCTGGCTGCTAGTTTAGACAGGGTTGGACGGGCTGTCTGAGCAAGGATCTCTGTCTGGAGGGGGTACCATTTCAGCAGAAGGAAGAGTGAATGCAAAGGCCCTGGGGTGGGAACATGCTCCTCACGCTGGGAGCTGCAGGAAGGTCTGTGTGGCTAGAGCCCAGTAAAGAGGAGCACAGGGATGGGAGACGAGGTCCAAGGTGCTTTAAAAACATCTGCGGCACTCCTCACACGGAGAGACAGGCTCTGTGTCCCTACCTCTTGACTCTGGGCTCCATGATTACTTGACCAGTAGAATTTGGTGACAATGACGCTGTGATAATTTCTGGGCCCCACCTTAAGGCAGCTTCTACTTCTTGTGTTTGAGGACACTTTTTGTTTTGTGATACTCACTCTTCAAACTTGGCCACCACTCTATGGGAAAGCCCATGCAGCTTGTGGAGAGGAACTGAGGACTCCATTTTTCAGCTCCTGCTGAACTCTCTGACCAGCTGGTACCACGTGCCACCATCTGAATGCGTGTTGGAACTGCATCTTCCAGCCCTAATTGAGCTGGCCCAGCAGAAACCTGGTGGAACAGGGACAAGCCTTTCCTGCCAAGCCCTGCCCTGATTGCAGATTCGTGGGCAAAATAAGTGACTGCTGTTATTTTAAGCCACTAGGTACTGGGGTGGTGTGTCCCATAGCAATATATCTTTCTAAACAGATCCCCTTCCTTTCACTGGAACAAGGGCTGCAGGGTAGATGGCGGCTGGATCACGCAGGGCCTTGTAAGCCAAGGGCAAGCACGGTGGGCTTTGTCATAAGGAACCATTAGAGGACGGCAAGCAACAGAGTCTCTGCAGGGATGTGGGCGGGCAGACAGGCCTGTGAGGAGGCTCCTGCCACAACCCAGATGAAGGGGGTGGTGACCAGCCAGGACATGCTCACAGAGGGAGGGTTAGAAGTGGTAGCTTCTGGATCGCTGTTGAAGATGGTGTGAACGGGCTCTGCTGATGGATTGGATGTAGGAAGGGTCACTGATGAGTCAGTCCACAATTTGGGGTCTAGATAGCTAAGTGACTGCTGGGTGACCATTTCCTGAGGTGAGGACTTGGCACGTGCCAGGAGGCTGCCGAGATATGGTCCTGATGAGAGGTGGCAGCCTAGCCACGGAGGACAGAGAGAAGGAAGGGGTGGACTAAAGGGAGTCAGAGGCAAACTGCACAGGACTTGAGAAGGGGGCAGACGGGGCACAAAGGGAAGCAGGCTGCTCAGCATGGGGCATCAGCTGCTCCCTTCCTGCCCCTGCTCCACCACCCCACCCTCTCCTCCTGGAATCCCGGCTTTGCCTAGATGTGCTGACAGCCCCCCTGGGGTGTCTGTAATGTGGCTGCCAGCAGGACCCAGAAGGGCACCCAGAGCAGATGGTGGGATGGGGCCGGGCTGGTGCTTCCTGAGGAGGGGTCTGCTCCTGCCACTGCTCATTCACGGCTTGGCCCAGTGCTGTGGCACCCCCAGGCAGCCTGCAGTGCGGGGGGCATCAGTGGGCATCTCACGTCCATGAGCTGGGGACAGGGGTGGGGGGTGTCTAGCATCCATGAAACCTTGGGCAAGTTACCTCCCTTAGCTGCAATGGTTTCTTTCCTTTTCAAAGGAGTTTAGTTTAAGGATGCTACATCAGGGGTCCCTAGCCTCCTATGACCCTCAAAGGGTAGGAACCTCCCTCCTGCCCACAGCTGCCAGGTCCTCAGAGCCCCAGATAAGGATTATAATTGGTTCATGGAAGGTGGCCACCTTCTGCGCTGAGAAACGACTCTGGAAACTAGAGATTTCCTCCATTTGCAAATACATTTCTAAACGTCAAGGAGGAACTGAATGTTAATCAGACATTAAGACAGGCTGTGGAATATTTAATGACATAGAAAGATGTTACTGACATATTGTCGCATGGGGGAAAATCAGGTTGCAAAATGGTGTGCACACCCTGATCCTGAGTTCACTCCTCGGCCCCGCCCCATCCAAGCGCCCCGTGCGGCTGGCGTTCTCAGAGACGCTCGCCACAAACGGTTAGGGCAGCTTTTATTTTCTTCACGCTTTTTGTGCTTCCTACATTTCTCTGGGAACCGTGTATTCATTCCAGAATCACACCCACCCCCCTCACCCTCAAAATGCTATCAAATGTGCTGATAACTTAAATTAGAAAATCTGCTGCTTAATAAGAAGGAATCAATGCTCAGAATAGAAAATGTGAAAGATAAAGACTATCTCTCCACACAGAAGCCACTGTAGGAAAAAGCTATTTTTAAAGCAAAAGGTTGTTTACTGTTCTCACTTTTCTGTTCTCATTAATTTTAGAACTGGTATTTGTGGGATTTTGTTTAAATTTTATGAATCTTTTGTCCTAGTTCTTACTCTTGATAAATACATGTGTAACTATTTTTCCTTCAAAAAAGCAAGAAATTAAGTGGAGTTGCTGTACCTTTGGAGCTGGCTCTCGAGATCTTTCCCTGGGGTTGGAGAGGAGCCAGCAGGGCTGGAAAGGGGTGTCTGCATCAGGTTCATTGTTCTTGTGGGCAGGGGTGAGGAACAGCCTGTACTTGTGGGGAACAGCGTTTAGGGTTAAACTGGGCTTGGGGGTTAAACTGCCTGCTTCCTTGTCTGAGAAATGAGCTTAATGCTACGTATTTTTTAAGCTTGATGAGAAATTCGGGGTAAGTTAAGTGTCAGTTCCCTTTCCAGGGTGGTCACCTTTGGCCTCCCCGCCCATTTTGGGGACCACTGTGGAGACTCTGGCCCGGAAGGACCATGGGACCTGGTCCTTATTCTGTCCCTTCCTGGTTGTGTGACCTTGAGAATTGCTTCAGCTGTGCTGAGCCTCAAGTTGCTGCGTCTGTCATACAGGGATGCTAGCACATTCCTGACGGGCTTGTTAGAGATGAGGTTAGGAGCAGGGCCCACCCAGTTGCAGGCAGCACACAGCAGCTGTGAAATCTTCCTGGAGGTCCCGGGGTGTCCTCAGAGCTTAAGGAATGGCAGCTCTGGGCCGGGCCCACAGCATGCATGCAGCCTGCACCGTCTCGTTTCATCTCCTGGCCTCTGACTGCCTTCTCAGAAGCTAGTCAGGTGTCTGCCCAAACCTCAAGAGTGCAGCTGAGACAGGAGGGACGGCAGGCTCCCTCCCTCCTCTCTCTCACAAACTGGTAAAGAAACTGCCCATTCTCCCGCTTGGCTATCTCAGGACAAAGGCTGGAGCCCACAGTAGGTTTGTCCGTAAGGCTTTTATTATAAAGAAGATTCCAGAGTCCCAGCTGCCCCCCTCCAGCCCCCATGGGCTCTGAGCCAGTCCCAACACTGGCTGAGTTGGCTGCGAGGGGCCCGCATGGCCCATCGGCCACAGAGGGTCGTTTCTGGCAGGAACGGAGTGGGTGGTAGTCTCAGGCGCCAGGGGCGCTCTGCCAGGTCTGCCCGCTCTCTGGAACAGTCATTTCCAGTGTTGCATGGGGAGCCTCTCGGGACCCCTCCCCGGGTCCTCTGCGCAAGCGGCAGCTATTCACAGTTGGTGCATGATACGTTTTTTAATATATAAAAGCTTTAAAAAAAAAAGTGGTGCTATCTTTAGAAACACTTTCAGCAAGATCAAGTAGCCCAGCTACAGCCTCGGTGCATCTTAACCCCTCTCCTTTTCCTGGAGACGGGGCTCCCAGCTCCTGTGCCCCCCATCCCTCCCCTCCACCCTCCCTGCTCCTGGAGAAGCCCACAGAGCACCCCATGGCGCGGGCACTGCCCACTCTACCAACAGCCGCCCAAGCAACAAAAATCTGACACTACTTGAAACTGTCTGTGGCCAGGATCCTCTACGGGTGAGGGGGAAGTGGAGATAACATTTTGGTAGTTGAAGCAGAAACCAATCAAAGGTCAGTTCAAGGAGGGCTCCCTGCACCAGTGTGGATGAGGTAGAGTTTCTGGGCTGCAGCCTCCGGGCTGGCGGCCTCCTCTCCCCCAGTTTGTGCTTGGCCGCCTGGATGCACGGGGCTCTTGGCAGCAGGACCAACTGGACGTTGTGGAGCAAGTGGGTGGGCACAGTGCAGGCCGTGCTGGGCAGATGGGGGAGCCTGACCAGCTCTCTGGCCTCCATCCCAGAGACTGATCTGGGGACAGGTGGGAGGGGATGGAGGTGCCCAGGGGTCAAGGCGGGGGCGCCCCTGTCTCAGAGAGCAGCCCCTCCTCCTGCCCCCGCCCCAGCCGTCTCTGCTCAGTATTTCCCAGTCTGAGTCACAGGCACGGGGTAGAAGATCAAGTTGAGGCCCAGTGGGCGTCCATTTCTCCCAGCAGCAGCCTGACCAACTCTCCATGTGTCTCAGGCCTCACTGTAGCACTCGTAGATGTTGTCCTCCATCAAAGCCACCACCTGCTCAAACTTGTGCTGCAGTTGTGTCCTCCGGGCCGTGGGGTTGGCCTCCAGCGCGGCCATGATCTGAGGGGAGCAGCGGAGTCAGCCGGGCCATGGCCGGTAGCCCTGCCTCAGTTCGTGGGAGAGAACACACCCCTGAACGTCTACCACGAGTGACATCCGTCCATTAGGGGCAAGCACCCTGAGATGTGTGTCCTTGAGTAGGAAGCTCACCTACCCCGAGGGCAGGTGCCTCACCCTGGGGCACTCACCTGCGGCCGATACCTCTTGGCGTACTTATAAATCTCTGCCATGGCCACATTGGTGTTGAACTCATTCTGGTATTTCTATAAGGAGGCAGGATGGGGAGGAGGTTAGCCCAGCGGTCAAAGCTGAGCCTAGTCCCAGCAAAGCCAGCTGCTTGCACACAATCCCCAACTCCCCACGGCCCCCACAGAACAGTTCAGCGATGAGGCCCCTCAAGTCCCATGGACGAAGACGGCTTCCCGGACCCTGAAGTCCAATCTCCTCTCCATCCAGAGGGTGCTCTCCTGCCCCCGCTCCTCAAACTCTGGGAAAATGCATGACGAATTTGCAGGCCAGCAAGAGGCCACAGCCACTTCTGAAATGCCCTCTGCGCTCCCTGCCCTTACTCCAGTGGAGGCATTGAGGCCCAGCCCCCGACCCCCGATCCCTCAGCTCTTCAGGCCCCCATCCCCCGCCGCCGAGCCACCGCACCCTCGACTCCTCGGCCAGATGGGCATTCATCTCTTGCTCGCTGAGCGGCGTCATGTCCTGGATCTGCTTGTAGTAGCGCTGCACGATCTTCCGGTACTCAGGAATCTCCTTGGCGTAGAGGAGCTTGTTGGTTGGCGAATCCTGGGCAGAGAAGAGCGAGGGTGTTAGATGGCTGCTGGAGAAAGGACGGATCTGGTCGTTTTCTGGATGAGCCCTCATCCCTCCTGCCACATAAGTGACCTTAGCAGGCCCCCGAGGCCCAAAGAGTCTCACCCGGTCACTGAACGTCCCCGCACTCAGCCGGCCCCAGACCAGGGGCTCCTCACTGTGCTCTGTCTGCCCCGCCTACTTTCCCCAGGACTGTTAGGACAATGATGTGGGTGGGGAGGGGCCCTACTTCTTTCAGGGGAAAAGTGCACGGGCATGCCAGCTCTTCACTGCACGCAGCCCATTCCACGTAACAAGGATGTGTCCTTCTCAGGGTGATAGGTCTTGGTGGCTAGGATTCCTGGAAGCCTGAGTGCTGGCTCAGTGGAATATTTCCCACCACATGCTCCTAACGCCTGAAAGAAGTGCCAAGAACACTCCCAGTTCTTTGTCAGTCACGGGCACCCTGCCTTCGGAGGCAGTACGTGAGTAGTAGTGGAGCGATGGCATTTTCTCCTTCCCGTGGTCCGTCTCTGAAATGCGTGGGCTAAATGCAGGGTCACACACGACCTGGACCAATCCTGCAGTGCCAGCTTTAATGATACAATCTCATCCCTGCTCACAGCAACCGGCTGCTTTCCTGCCTCCCTGTCTTTGCCTGCGCCGTTCTCTCTGCCTGGAAGGCCATCCTCTTTCATCTTCAACCTCTAAAGCCAGACACAGCCTTGTGTGCCCCCAACACACCGCATGAATCTCAGAGCTCCTAGCCACCCATCACCCCTCTGCCCACCCCTTCACTGAATGCTCGCTTGAATGGCTTTTGACTTTCAGGGGCTACTGCCCAGAGCCTGGCCCGGTTTTCAGATGATGTTGTGCCTGACCAAGCAGGTTGTCCAAGCTCATACTGGCTTTCCCACACCGGGTTCTCAGGCCTGTGTTCAAAGCCAGTGCCAGGCACAGCTGCAGCATGTGCAGTTGGTCTGCAGCGATACAGAGTTTCTGATGGAAGGTACTGGCTTCTAGGTGTCTCCCTGTCTGAATGAGTCACTCATCCCACATCCCCTAGACCTGAGATCTTTTGGTTCCCCTCCCAGGAAGATCTCTGAGCTCAGCCTCAGAGAGTCGAGGAGGCTACCCATGGTCGGCACCCCACTCTGGCCCTGTGCATGGGCCTGGCCTGGTCCTGGGAACAGCTGACCTTGCCCAGCTGCAGGTCAGAGATGGAGCAGGCGTCGATGAAGGCCTGCGCGATGACTGAAAGGCAGGCGTCGATGTGGTCTGTCTTGTCGATGTCAAAGACAAACTGGGGGTTCTTCAGGATGTTCACCCAGAACCGGAGAGGAAGGCTGTGGGGTAGGGTGACAAAGACAGTGAGGGTAGGGTGGGGTAGGAAGCAGTCGAGGGACAGTTGTGGAGGAGAGAGCTGGCTTTGTCCCTCAAGGGCCTGAGGTTGGAGCCTTGTCACAAGATGTGACCTTTGGGAACCTTAGTTTGCCTATCCCTGGCCAGCTGGGGTGCAGTGGGGCTGAGAGCCCGGTTTCCTGCTGGAGCAAGGCAGGAGCTACAGGGCTTAGCTGTACCCCCCAACCCCCTCCTGAGCCTCCAGTCAGGTCCTGGTTCTCATTAGAACCAGGTGCCGGCCCCCGGGCACCCCTGGCTCCTCCCTGAACCCTTGCAGGCAGCAGGAAGTCCGACATTAGCAGAGCAGCTGTGGCAGGGCTGTGGGGGGCAGGGCCTGGAGCTCTGGCCTTGTCCTCAAGAGGCCAGAGAGGGTGAGCAACACCCCCACCCCCACCTCAGGCCACCCAGTGACTCAGCAGCCTGGGCATGTGTACCCCCAGAGCTCTAGGAAGCTGCTGCCCTGCACAGAGGCGCCTGGGCTGGTGGTATTCTTCCTGAGGGTCAGGCTGGGTTTCCAGCAACTTCTTGTGGGGGTGCATGACCCCGACAAGCTAAGAGGTGCCTCAAAGGAGGGCTACCAACTGGGTAAGAGATTCAGATAATGTAGGGCCGAGCCTGGCTCTACTGTCCCAGGCTGTGTGGTCTTGAGCAGGTGCTGCTTCTCCGAGCCTCAGTGTGCTTATCTGTGAAGTGGAGCTGATGGTGCCCACCTGAGAGGGGTGCGGGAGAATGATAGTAAGGGCAACACCTAGACCATGCTTCTGGGCACTCTTCTAGTTAATTCCCACCATTAACATGGGTCGCATTTTACAGTGGAGGGGAAACTGAAGCACAGAGAGGCTAAGTCACTCATCCGAGAACACACAGCTGGGAAATGGCAGAGGAGGGCTTGACCCCAAGCAGGCGAGGCCAGAAGACTAGACTCTGAACCCCCTGCCACAGGGGCCCCAGTGGCACAGTGAAGTCCACACGGCCCCCCCACCCGCCACCTGTTGGTCTTCCAGATGTGTAGGGTGTCGGGGTCGGAGATTCCCCTCTTCTCAGCCTGCTCCTCCAGGAAGTCGAAAAAGTACTTGACAGCCAGTGGGGGCTTGTCTTCACGGATACTCAGAATGGCCTTGAACAGGTCATCCAGAAACTTCTGCAACGTGCCCTGCGGGGGAGTGGGGTGGCCGCCGTCAGCCCCGGGCCACGTGCAGAGGGCTAGTGGGCACCCTTGGTGGCTCTGCGGAGCTTGAAATGCCAGGCTGCTGAATGAGGAAGCCACATGGCATCAGGCTGGTCACCGAGCCTCTCTGGCTCACTTGCCTCCCAGAGGCGTTGAAAGGACTAATCGAGGCACTGGCACATGGAGTCGAGAACTGGAAGTGCCAGAGTATGGGCTGTGGGGTGCCGGCGCTGCCACTGAGCCACGTGGCCTTGGGGACATCACTGATCCCTCTGGGCCTCTGCTGTACCCTGTTACGTGGGCTAACATAGAAGTCTCTGTCAGGCATTTTTCCTGGCTGTGAGAAATGCCTCCTCAAGTGGGACCCTAAGCCTTCAGCCTCTTGCCCCTCCAGCCCCACAGGGGAAACAGGAAGAACTCACACCCCTCTCCCAGCCGCGGGTGCACAGCTGGCCCTGAGCAATGACCCTCTGGAGCTGGGGCTGGAGCCTTGTACCCACTGCACAGAGGGGAGACTGAGGCCGGACTCACCTTGGTGGAGAGCAGGCGGGTCAGGTAGATTTCCGGGAGCACCTTCTTGCGATGGCTCTGCCGGTGAGACTTCTTGGGCTCCGCCAGCTCGTCCGTAGGCAGCACCTGGGAGGCCGGGCAGTGGTCAGTGTCCGCACCAGGCCCCATCCTCGGCCGCCTGTGGGAGGTCTGGCTCTGCCATGCTTCTTAGCACACAAGGGCTGTGGTTCCCTCCTGATTCTGGGCCCCATCCCTACTCCCCCACCCCCCAGCCTTTCGCAGGGCTGGGAGCACTTTTCCCAAGAGGCCCAGGGCCACAGAAAGCCAAGGCCACACCCACTGAGGGGCTGGATCCCCCGGGGCCGAGGTTGGGCACTCACCAAATGGAAATACTTCTCTGTGTCCAAGTCTTTCACTGTGAGAGGAAAAACACAATAAATAAACACGGGAGAGGAGAGGAGAGAAACAGAAATGAAGACAGAAAGATGGAGTGAGAAACAGAAACAAGACAGAAAGATGGGGAGAGAAACAGAAGCAGAGACAGAAAGATGGAGAGAGAAACAGAAACGGAGACAGAGATCCAAAGAGACAGTCAGAGAGAATGAGACAGAGATGCAGAGACGCATGGGGAGACTGAGTCTGGGAGAGACGGAGAGAGAGATAAGTGAGATCCAGAGACACACAGCGAGCGAGACAGAGTGAGGCAGAGAGAGAAAGACACACACACAGTGACCCGGGATGGAGGGACTTGGAAGGAGGGACAGCGGTGGAGAGAAACAGGAAGATGCAGCCACGGGGGAGGAGGGGCCCCAGGCAGGCGGGGGTGGGTGCCTTTGCCCACCCCACCCCTGAGCCCAGAGCTCCTGCCAGCCCAGATTCCCAGGCTGCTGGGAGAGACTGAGACTCTGCTCTCAACCTTAGAAGGGGACCCCGAGACCCAGAGGATCCCGGGCTCGCAGGCCTGGCAGCCAGGAGGCTGTGCCTGGGGCGTCTGAGGGTGTGGAGGGGGCACTTGAGGCAGGGACATGGCCCAAGGCTGAGACGGGCATGCTGGCCCCCCTTCTGGCCTGGCTGCTGCCCAGACCTCCTGGAACTGCATCCCGCCCTCCCGGGGCCTCTCTCCAGCTGCCGCAGGAAATCAGCTTGAGGAGGCCTGGTGTGGGCCCTGCCCCAGCAGTACTGGGTCAGAGGAGGCTGGCCCCGCCCAGCCCCCACCAAGGAGGCCTCAGCCCAGGCCAGCCCTGCCTCTCGGAGCCTCAGCTTCCCCACTGGGGCATGGGATGGAAGCCCCTGTCCACACGCAGCCTGGGCTCCCTTCCCACGTGCACCCGCACTACCTCGGCCCAGTGTGTTGTCCTTCTTGTCTATGAGACTCATGGCCAGGGAGGCACCTTCAGGGATCTGATGGGAGGGGAGAGGCCGAGGTCAGAGGCCGGAGGTTGGGGTGGGGGCATGAGGGTGGGGAAATGGGGGCGGGGGGCAGGGCTGCACCTTGTAATGGGCCAGCGTGTTAAGCTTCTTGCGGCCGTCTTCCACCACTGAGGTGTCGTCCAGGTCCCGAAGGATGTAGCTCTGTGTGCTGGAGGCGAACCACTCTGGGGGACAAGGGACAGGCCATCAGGGTCCGGGCAGGGAGCTGGGCCTGAGGGGTAGGTACCGGCCCAGCCACATAGGGAGAGGCCTCTCGCTCTCTCCATGTAAACTGAGGCAAGCCATACCTCTCTCTGAGCCTCCATTTTCCCATCTGTAAAATGGGGAGGGCAGGAAAGAGCTGGGGGAGAGTGTGAGGGTACAAAGAGAAGGTGCCAGGGTGGAGGGCACAGAGGAGGAGCTCTGGAAATGGCCTTGTCTGCAAGGCTGTTCATGTTACAATTGCTGATGAAACCCTTGGCCTAACCAAGACTCCTATAAAACCCACTCCAGGCCCCGCGCGGTGGCTCACACCTGTAATCCCAGCACTTTGGGAGGATGAGGCAGGAGGATCGCTTGAGCCCAGGAGTTCAAGACCAGCCTGGGCAGCACAGCATGACACTATCTTTACAAAAAGTAAAATTAGCTGGATGTGGTGGTGCACTCCTGTAGTCCCAGCTACTCAGGAGGCTGAAATGAGGGGATCACTTGAGCCCAGGAGGTCGAGGCTGCAGTGAGCTGAGATTGCGCCACTGCACTCCAGCCTGGGTGACAGAATGAGATCCCGTCTCAAAAACAAACAAACAAACCAACCCTACTCCAGCATCCCTCCTTTAGGAATTAGGAAGCCTTTCCTGAAGGCTTTTTGCTGTTGTCCGTAGTTCACTCACACTGCAGGACTTGTCTCCTACAGAGTAAGAGCTTCTTGCTGAGGGGGCCTCATTGGATCCTCTCAGTGTCCCCACATTCATGCACCCATGCCAGGTGAAAGGAGTGTTTCCCGTCAAGGCAGGGGCCAGCCCCGGCTGAAGCGCCTGACACGGGGTCTCTGCCCCCATTCCCACCCACCAAGGTCGACGTCCTCTGCACGCGGCCACTGGGAGTAGGGCACATTCTTGCAGAAGGCCTCCAGGATCTTCTCCTTGACCTGTGTCAGCGTGTCGGTGTCCATGGCCCGCACGCTCAGCGAGTCCATGCCACAGCCCTGGAAGGACACGTTCAGGTTCTGCAGGGGGAGAGTGGGAGAGAAAGGTCAGTGAGTTGCTGCCATCACTATGTCAGTGCCCAGGCAGCAAGGCCCTGCAGAGGAAGGCTGGGTCAATGCCGTTGGCGGCGACACAGCAGCCCTGGGACCCTCCCCGCCCTGCCGACTTACCCGGGGCTTGGCCTCGATGTTCTCCCGCAGCAGCCACTCCTCACTGAGTGTGTAGCGGGCCTTGCCTGTGATGGCGTCGATGGAGCCCTTGTTGATTTGCTGCTTGATGGCACACAGCAGCAGGAAGAATGGCTCCCCCACCGTCTCCTGAGGGGCACGGGGGTATCAGGGCCAAGGCCCCCTCTGTATTCCAGCCCCCATGCTTTGGGCCAAACACCTTCACGCCCCCGTCCCCCAACCCCTCCAACAGTCTCCTTTTGGATCCTGGTGTCAACACTCTCCTCTCCAGGGTGTCTCCACGGACCCTAAGCTCGTGTTCATTAAACACCACCAGCTGTGGGTGGGTGCATTCATTGCATCATCCCGGCAACCCTTCCGGATACGGAGTATCATTCTTACTGTGCAGCCAACAGTGCCGAGGCTCAGAGAGGGCAAGTGACCTGCCCAAGATCACCCAGCTGGGAAGCGGCAGGGCAGGAATCGGACCTGGCTCGGCTGACTCCCAAGCCTGTGACTTTCTACTAAGTGGGGGGCCCCCAAGTGTGAGTTTAGGTGGACCCGAAACACCGATGTGGCCTCGACCCCACTTGCAGGCTGATGACTATGGAGTCTCAGGAGGAATGGGGCTCAATGTCCCTGCTCTTGCCCATCTCCAAGGGTGGCCCTCCAGGCAGTGGCTCTGCTGGACCCACAGCCATGAGCTGATTCTCAAGGCCATTGCCCAGCAAGGGACCCAGGTGTTCCACTGGGATAGTTTTACTTAACTATCCACAAAAATTGATTTAAAGAAAAATTAAGTACATAATAGTATTAGGCAGATTTGGCAAAGATTACGAAGGCAGCCTGCCAGCCCAAGTCCTGGTCCAATTCTCCAGGTCTGGGGCGTGGGAGGCACTGATTCCCTGCTTCCTAGAGGAGGAAACAGGCTCATAGGGGAAGGCCTGGCTGAGGCCACAGAAAGAAGCCAGGGGAGTGAGGTCCAGGGTCCACAGTGGCCCTTGTGGTTCCTGATGGCCCACAGTGAGGCAGCCCGCAGAAGGCGGAGGCACCCCAATGGCCCCTCCCAGGCCCTGCCTCTGCTCCACCCCACTACCCCCTTCCCCCAGGAGGAGCCGTGGGGCTCCCCCAGGCTACTTGGCCCTCAAGCCCCAGGCTCAGGGGCAGAGGCCCCATTTGACAGAAGGAAACCAAGGCCCACAGAGGGCAATGAGTAGCCCAGAGTCACACAGCTGGGCTGTGCCAAAGATTGGACTCAAGCCCAGGACATCTTGGCTGGGTGCAGTGGCTCACCCCTGTAATCCCAGCACTTTGGGAGGCCAAAGCGGGAGGATTGCTTGAGCTCAGGAGTTTGGGACCAGCCTGTGCAACAAAGCAAGACCCCCATCTCTTCAAAAATTAATAACAAAAAACAGAACATCCGAGGCCCCGGTTCTGGGCTCCAGGCAGGCCTTTGCCTTTCTCCCACAATCCTCCAGGCAGCCCTCTAGCCTCTGCCACCATAGGGCAGCTGGACAGTGGGACAGGACAAGAGGCTAAGCAACCCTTGCTCTGCGAAGAGAGCTTATGGGGGTCCTTCTGGCAGAGTGCAGGAGGCCCTGGTTACCGGGCCCACCCTCTTCCCAGCCTCCGCTCTCATCCAGAAGATTCTTTGGCCTTCCTTCTATTCCTTCCACGAACATCCCCTCCTCCCGGCCTCTGCCCTTGTGCTGTACCCGATGCCTGGAGCACCCTCCCCACCACTCCTCGCCTGGCTCACTCTCTTAGGTCTCAGCACAGGGTTGCCTGCTCCAGGAAGCCACCTTGAAGCCTTCAGACAGAGGGAGGCCTCGTGAGCTGAGCTCTGCTGCGAGGCACTGGCCACCCTGTATTTTGTTTCCACGTCTCGCCTAGCCTAGGGCTGGGAGAGCCTCAAGGGCCAGCCAGGGGCTGATTTCATCTCCTGAATCCAGAGCAGGGAAGGGTGGATGACTGAGAAAACCACAGATGGGACAAGGCCCCTGACACAACCTCTGTTATGCCCCAAGCATCCGTTGAGCCCTTGCAGCAAGCCAGCCAGGCTTCCCCGGGGCCATGGCTCCCCTCTCTGCATAACAGGTCCTACGGGCCTGGCCTGTCTCATGCAACACTCCCTCCTGGCAGAGCTGGCCTGAGGGTGCCAGGGAAGGCCTGGGAGGCCGTGGGGTCACTGCCGCTGAGTCCCTGCCACGTCCCCCGCCTGGGCTCTGTCTGTCCCCAGGCAGCCTCACCCGCAGACAGCTGTACATGCAGATGGACATCCAGTTGGTGAGCATCTTCTCCACCACAGACTCTGTGCGCCGCAGCATGAGCTTGGGGTTCTTGGCGGCCGAGGCGTCAATGAGGTCCACCAGCAGCTCCTTCATGATGCTGGTGTAGTACTCCAGCTTGCCGTGCAGCGCGATGGTCAGCAGCGAGGCCAGGCTGCACCTGTGAGCGGGAGGCAGGTGTCAACTGCACCTTGAGGCCCTAGGAGCTGTGGGTCCCAGGGTCTCAGTGCCGCCTCATCCCCGGGCCCATCGATCCCAGGAGTGCCTGTGTGGGTGGGTCCTGCGAGGGGTGAGTGGGGCTAGAATCCTCCTGGAGAAACAGCCACCTTCTTCTACGTCCACAGCAACCATCGTGCCCCGTGAGCCAAGGTCTTGGGCATCCCGGCCCAGGAAGGGCTGGAATATGGGGGTGTCAAGAGCCCCAGAGCCCCAGGACCCAGGACCTGATGCTGTGTGGCCTTGGACAGGCTCCTCTTCCCTACCCCACCCCAGTCTGTCACAGCCTGACCTGTCGCGCACCGCAAAGTCCTTCTGCTGCTCCAGCGCGTGGACAAAGACGATGAGGAAGTGCTTGTTGTTGAGTAGTGAGGAGAACAAGCTAATTCCCTCTTCCATGTTGGGCCGGCAGCTCTCAGGAATCTGTGGAAGCAACTGGTGATGGGGTGTCCAGAGGGGCCCAGTGTCCCTGCCTAGCCTAACAGCCAGTGCTTACGACGGCTGCTTGTATGCCTCCTGGGATGGGGAGCTCATTACCTTCCACGGTGGATGCCTCCTAACCTTTGTGACAGGGAACAATAGCTTGGTTGAATTGAAAAGTGGGGCTCAGAGAAGGGTAAGGGTGCCTGGAGGTAACCTGGCATCCCAGTGTGGAGGACTCTCACCTTCCATTTTCTAAGCAGGTTGAGTGGGGTGTACAGGGGGGCCCAATCCTCTGTCTGCTCTACCTGGCCTGCGGGGGCAGCACTTATAATACCCTGAATGGCTGCCTGAATGCCTCCTGGGATGGAGGGCTCAGTACCTTACAATGGCAGATGCCTCCCAACTCCGCATGACAGGGATCAATGCATTAGATGAACTGGAAAGGGGACCCAGGGGGGAGCAGGGTTGCCCTGAAGCAGCCCACTGTGTGTGGGTCGTGGGGTACTCACCTTCCACTCTCCCAGCAGTGGGTGGGTTTCCTGTGCCTGGGAGCTGCCCTGGGAGTTGAGGGTCTGGGAGGGCAGCACGTAACGCTCTTCATAAAGGGAGGAACACTGCAGAGGCAGACCCCCAGCATCTCAGCGGGGCTGGACACCCCCTGCTGGCATGGAAAGGTCACTCACACAGAAAGGGGCACTGGCTTGGGCTGCTGGGGGAAACTGGCACGGAATTAGCTCCCCATAAAGGACTAAGAGGCAGTGGGCCAAGCCTGGGGGCTGTGGAATTCCAGGGGTGTGGCCACACAAGACAGCACAAGACTTAAGGGGAAGCAAAAGCAGCTCCATGTGCAATGGGGGAAACTGAGGCAGAAAGGCTGGGAGTCTGAGCTTTAGCCTGAGGCTGGGAAAAGCTACTGGAGGGTTTCGTGAAAAATGATGTAGTCAAACATGGGCTTGCTTTGGCCACTGTGTGGGGAATGGTGTGGACAGGGGAGAGAGGGTGGTACCACTAGGAGGTAGAGTGAGGGTAGTGGACCCTGGAAGGGCAAGGGGAGGCATGAGAGGCATGGAAGGGATGGGGCAGGAGTCCAGTGGACAGGAGGAGGGAGTGTAGAGACCAAGGGAAGCCTGGCTGGGAAGAGGCACAGGAAGGAGAGAGGCTGGCCTGGGACAGCCCTGGCCGCTTCTGCCCCACCTTGAAAAGGGGAGAGGCAGGCCCAGCTGGCCAGGACAGCGGGGCTGCAGCTGGCTTCCATATGGACTGTTAAACATCAAGTGAGCAGAGAATGACAGTGGAGAATCTGCCTCCAACCCTTCTCCCCGTGGCAGGCCAGGGCAAGTGGCCAGGACGGCTGCGGACAGCTGTGCAGGTTTGGCACTGCTCAAGGGACCCTATAGGCTGGCAGGGCTCAGAGAGGTCGAGTTGCCTTGAGGTGGCTGGCACAGGTTCAGGGCAGGCTCAGGCTCGGGCTGACCTTGGGG
This sequence comes from Homo sapiens, assembly GCF_000001405.40. Taxonomy (NCBI): domain Eukaryota; kingdom Metazoa; phylum Chordata; class Mammalia; order Primates; family Hominidae; genus Homo; species Homo sapiens. Next base: position 129,567,499 of record NC_000003.12, read on the forward strand.
AAGAAGGTGCGGGTCACGAAGTGCTTATACTCCAGGAAGGGGATGCCCTGGCTGCGGTTCAGCTCCTTGGTGAGATCTGTCATGTCTGTCTGCAGCTCAGCGAAGCCTGGCGGACACACGGACAGCCGTGAGCGGCCCGAGAACCCATCCCCTAGGAGGGAAAGTTGAGGCCCAGCCCTGCAGGGTCCCCGCCCACTACCTTTGCGGATTTCCTCTCGGATCTGAGATTCCATCTCCTCCATCTGCAGCAGCGTCTTCTGCCAGTAACGCTCAGCACGTCGGCTCTTGGTACAGAAGACGAACAGGGCTGCGGGCAGTGGAGAGGCAGGTCAGGCCTCTGGTGCCCTTTGGAAAGCCTTTATTGGCGCCTGCTGTATTCTGGCCTCCGCTCCAGCTCCTCTGGGCAGGGTGTGGGAGGAGGCCCTGCAGTCCTCCCTCCTGGGCAGGGTTGGGGTGGGGGGTGGGGAGTTGCGGGGAGCTCTCCCGTGGACAGAGGGCTTGGGGAATGGCCAGCAAAGCAATGCCTGATGACCCGTCCTTAGAAAAAGAAGTGTGTAGTGTTACAGCTCTGTTAGAATTTGTCTAGCCCCGTTAAAAAAAAAAAGAAACAGGAATACGTGTGTGTGAAATAGTGGTTAACAGTGGCTTTCCTGGGTGGGAGGATTCTGGGTGACTTCGGTTTACTTTCTGCTTTTGAGCATTTTCTATTCCTTCTACAATGACCAGGTGTTACTTGTAAATTAAGAAACTTTTAAAAGCAGATTACAAAGCAATATTACATTATAACCTTTCCTGGGGTGGGGAGGAATATATACATAATGTATTAAAATATCTATTAATATATAGTATTTTCAGAAAAGAGACTGGGAGGGAAGATACAAAAATACACAGGGTATTAATGATGGGTATTTTTTCCTTTTATCATCTTTCAGTTTTTCCAAAAATTTTCTGCATTGAATATACTCACTTTAAAAATAAAACAGCTTTATTGTGAAATAACGTACATACCATATAATCCAGTGATTTAAAGTGTATACTTCAATGGTTTCTTTTCTTTCTTTTTTTCTTTTGAGACAGTCTTACTCTGGCACCCAGGCTGAAGTACAGTGGCGCGATCACATCTCACTGCAGCCTCCACCTCCCAGGCTCAGGTGATCCTCCCACCTCAGCCTCCTGAGTAGCTGGGACTACAGACTCATGCCACCATGCCCAGGTAATTTTTGTATTTTTTGTAGAGATAAAGTTTTGCCATGTTGCCCAAGCTGGTCTTGAACTCCTGGGCTCAAGTGAGCCACCCACCTTGGCCTCCCAAAGTGCTGGGACTACAGGCATAAGCCACTGAGCCTGGCCTAATTCAATGGTTTCTAGTATATTCACAGAGTTGTGCAACCATCACCACTAATTTTAGAGCATTTTTGCTGCCCCAAGAAGACCCATACCCATGCAGCAGTCACTCCCCATTCGTGTTCTCCCTAGTCCCTGGCAATCACCATTCAGCTTTCTGTCTCTATGAATTTCCCTATTCTAAACATTTCATATAAATGGCATCATACAATATGCCTTTGGTGAGTCTTCTTTTGGTTAGTGTAATATTGTCAAGGTGCCTGCCCATGGTGGCATGGATCAGTACTCCACTCCTTCTTACGGATAAATAATTTTCCATTGTATGAATAGATCATATTTCATTTATTCATTTATTGGTTGATGGACATTTGGGTTGTTTTGACTTCCTGGTTATTATAAATAATGTTGCTATAAACGTGTGTACAAGTTTTTGTGTGGCTACGTTTTCATTTCTCTTGAGCAGATAGCTAGGGGTGGAATTGCTGGGTCATAGGTCATAGGGTAATTCTATGTTTCACATCCTAAGAAACTTCCAAAATGTTTTCCAAAGCAGCTGCGCTTTTTTGTATTCCCTCTAGTAGCGTATGATGGCTCCAGTTTCTCTGCTACATCGAGTCTATTACTTTATTGACCATTATTTTAACAGTGGTATAGCCCACCAGACATGTAGGTTAATTTTTCCTGAGTAATCCTCTCTTAAGTACCTTCAGTAGCTCTCTATTGACTGGAGAACATGGTTCCAAATTTCTCTGCTTGAGATTCAGGGACCTGGGCGTGGGCCTAGCATATCCCCTGGCCACCTAACATCTTCTACCCATTGGTGCTGGAGCCAGGGCACACCTCCCCCAACCTCTGGGTGCCTAACCTGTTCCCATGGCCAAGCCTTTGTTCAAGCTGTGCCCCATCCCATCCTGCCTTCTCCCATCTGCCAATCTTCAGAGGGGCTGGGGCAAGGTGGCAAGCCTGCCCTCCAAGGTGTCCTGAGGGTGGGGCTCCTTACCCACCACGGAGAGCAGCAGCAGGACGCTGCAGATGACGATGGACACGATGATGGCCGTCTCGCTGCCCCCCAGCTGCAGTGTGGCGATGGTCTGGTTGAAGTTCCCTACCTGGATCTGTGCAGAGGTTGGGGAAGGGGGTTGTAGCTTTCCTGGACTTATACTCTAGTTCTGCTCCTCACTTGCTGTGTGGCCCTGGGTAAATTACCTAACCTCTCTGAGCCTCAGGTGCCACACTGATAACATAGAGATAACAATGTCCACCTCCTGGGGACACTGGGAAGGCTAAATGAGGGCTTGTCAAGCCCTTGGTCCTGGGCCTGGCACAGAGGTGGCTCAATGCAGGGGGCTGTGATTATCATTACAGCCTGGGAGGAGTAGTGAGTGAGCAAGAGGAAGCAGTTCACGGGGCCTGGCTGCTGTCCCCAAGTATCTGCAAGGCTGCCCTGGGACCAGGGGGTAGGTGAGGTATGAGGACTCAGAGTGCAGGACTGGGACTGAGGTGCAGGTGAAAGAAAGCTTTCCCAGTCAGAGCCATCCTGGGGTGGCACACGCTGCTTGGGAGAGAGTGAGCTCCCCATCCCAGGAGACATGCAAGGAGATAGTGTTCTGGCCCCTCTCTGCTCCTCCTGCTCCCCTGCCTCTACATGGTGCCTGGCAGCCCAGGCTCTAGGATAGACGCCAAGGGGGACAGGGACAATTTCTTATGGTTTCTGATGGTCCAGGTCCAGATGGGGCCCATCACTGACCTCAAGCAAGTCACTAAGTTCTTGGGCCTCAGTTTCCTCATATGTCAAGTGGGGATGTAAAGCTCTGCTTTGCTGGACTGAGCTGTTGAGCGTGAAAACGCTCAGTGAATTCAGGTGCTGGGTGAGGGGCAGATGCTTGGCAGATGGGCCAGGGGTGGGGCCAGGTCTGCCCTGCTCCGGCGCCCCATCCACTCACTGTGATGGGCAGCTGCCCCACGGCCGCGCCCAGGGACTCGTTGACCGAGCAGTGGATGATTCTGTCAGAGACAATCTGGATGTCGCAGCTTACTTGGCCTATCTTGACCCGGTACTCGTGACTCTGGAGCCCCAGGCTGTCCTGCTCCTTCTGTGGGTGCAAAGGGGGAGGATGCTCATGGGGAAGTGCTCCCGAGGCCCACAGCTGAGGCTGGCTCGCTTGCCCCCGCCTACCCCGGCCCCTTTGGTGCTCACGTGGATAACGAGGGTGAGAGGCTCCCCGGGGTGGTGCTTGATCCACTTCTCCCTCTTGGCCGTAGAGAACTGTGGGTTGGGGAGGTAGTCCAGGCGGAACCTGCTGCCCCGCTGTGCCTCCTCGGGGTCCAGTAGCTCCTCAGCCACAGCCACCTCGTCTGCGTAGGCCCGCCCATTGATGAAGAAGTCCACTGGCGCTGATGCGTTGCTCAGGGCCCCGGGGGACGGGCAGGTGATGAGGGTGGAGTTGAGAACCTTGCAGAGCTGGTGCAGGAGAGCCAGGGGCCCAGGCCGGGATGCAGGATGGACAGATGGGCATGGAGAAACGGTGGGGAGTGGGGTTTGAGGAGACACAGAGGCAGAGGGAGGAAGAGGGGACAGAGATGCAGTGGGAGGAGGCCTGGTCAGTTAGGGCCCTGGCTGTGCCTGGGCCACCCCCTCCCACCCATCAGGCCCCCGAATGCCTCACCGTGGGCTCCCGGCCAATGTGGTGGACGGCCATGGACACATTCTGCACCATGTGGAAACGCTCACCAGCCACTGTGATGGTCCTGCCGCCACTGCGGGGGACAGCAAAACCTATCAGTGCACCTGCAGCCCCAGAGAGCCTGGGGGAAGGGCGGGGTGCCAGTCTCACCTGACAGGGCTGCGGCGGGGACTGATGGCCGTGATGACCGGGTTCTGCATGTACCAGAAGGTGAGGTTGCCGTGCACGCAGCCCCGACGCTCGAAGCGCACACACACAGGCACCGGAGCCGGCAGGGCCCCCTCAGGCATGGTGCAGGCGATGCTGGTATCTGTGCGCCTGGGGGGAGCAGCAGGTTATCAGCAGGGCCTGCCTTCTGCTGCTCACCCACCGCCAATGCCCCTGAGACCTGGGGCACAAGTCCACGCACTTGGCCTGGGGTTCAAGGCCTCCTTGACTGGTCCCAACTCATCTTCTGCCCAGTTAGTGCCCAGCTGTTTCCTTACACTTCCAAATTCCGCCCCATCCCACCTCCTCCAGGAAGCCTTCCCAGGTCTTCTCTCCCGCCTCCAACCCTGGTGAAGTCTCTCTCCCCAGATCCCTGAAGGCACTGACTTTTCTCCCAATCCTAGCCCCACTGGATGTTCCTACTTCCCGTGGGTATGTCTGCCCTTCCCTTGAGGTCTATGTTGTGCTCCTCTTGGTGTCCCAGCAATGCCCATTAGTGGGGTCTGGTACACAATAAGTGCATAATAAAGACAAAGGTGTTTCGCCAACAGACTCCAACCACACCCCTGCCACTCACCACACCCCTGGGCCAGCCAGAAGATCTGTGTGTGTGCAATCAACACCATTCTCATTACAGCTATCACTTATGGAGCAACTACTGTATACCTGGCACAAAGCCCTTCTTCCAATTACTGGTACTATTCTTACCAGCTGAGGAAACTGAGGCTCAGAGAGGAGAAGGGGCTTGGCTTAGGGGACACAGCCAATGAAGACCCAAGAGAGGCTTGGCTCAAGGATGTCACCTCCAGCCCGCCAGCCCCCAAGCCCATTGATTTCTCTGGGCTGGAAGGGATGGGCCAGGCCCAGAGGCTTACATCAGCTCCGTGCAGGGGTCTGTGTCGTTCACCAGGACCTGGAGCTCGGAGCCTACATGGAGGTCATTCCCATGGATGGTGATCCTGGTGCCCCCGGCCTTGGGGCCCATGGTAGGCTCCAGGGAGTGGACCAGGGGCAGCTGTGGGAGGAAGGCAGGCGTTTGGGCCTCGGGCCAGCCCCCGGGAGTGTGCGTGCTGGGCGGGCCGGACAGTGGGCTGCAGCCCCCCCTTACCACGTAGGAGAAGCGGTCCCGGGACTTGCCCTCCTTAGAGGCGTTCACGGTCACCACACCTGAGAGTGGTCCTGGGGCTGGCCCTGTGACACACACGATCCTGAGGGGAGGTGCTGTGGTCAGCCAGCGGTCCTTGGCCCCCACGGCCACCCTAGAGCCAGGCTCAGGGATCGCCCCATTCCACGCCATGCCACACTTCCAATGCCTTCTATGTATAATTTACCCCATCAGTTTCCCACAGTTCTGCAACTATAAGACACGGGGGTGGGACAAAAGGGTCTCTGATCATGAGAACGTCTGCTGGGCTGGTAGATGACGGCTCTTCCACACGCCTGATGCACGGCCTCCCAAAAGGAAAGCCAGTTCAGTCTCTGCTCACGCGTATTTCCTACGGCCCCTCTGGGCCAGTCACAGATCTCTAAACCATGCCAGTAGCCCCAGCCTTTTTAATTGCAAATGATTTTCCTCAGAGCAAGGCTTAGGTGGAAGAAGGGCTGTGCTAGGGCAGCCTGTGAGGGCTTCCCAGAGGAGTGGGCATCAGAGCCAGAGCTGGAGGGATAAAGCAGATGCCCCAAGCAGAAACGGCAGGATGTGTGGTGGGAATGGCTTCGGCACAGGCCTGGAGGCCACGAAGCAACAGTCTTCCAGAAAGCAGCAGAGTGAGGACAGAGGATGGGGAGGGAGGAGTGAGGAGGACAGAGCAGAGGCTGGCACTGCTGGAGAAGGTAGGTGGGGGCACCGTGGCTACTCACTCCTCCGACACCGTGTATCTGTCAGGCAGTGGCTCACAGGCCACACCACCAATCCACACGCCGTGGGCCACGTCACTGAGCCGCCGGCCCAGGTTCCTTCCTCGGATGGTCAGCAGGGTCCCACCGTCCAACGGGCCACTCAGGGGCTCAATCTGCCAGGTGACCCGAGAGAGGGGCGAATGGGATCTGAGGCTGCAGGCCAGCAGGCTTCTGCCCACAGTCACAGGCACCCAGCAGGGCACAGCCGTGCAGACCCACTGCTTAGAGGAAGGTCTGGAGGCTCAGGTGGGGCTGGGACTGTGGCCACTTGGCAGGTCACTGTGCTGGCAAGGAGGATGTGGGTGTGCATTACTGAGCCCACGTGGGCCTGGGGACGCTACTTAGGGGGTCTCCTGGAGGATGCTGAGGTCAGCTTCCAGGAGCAATGTTTGGCCATGTCATTGGTGGCTTTAGTGATCATGGTATCCCCTGAAACTAACAACATTCAGCCCTCGGTGTCTCCTCCACGCCACACTTCCAATGCCTTCTATAATTTATTCATTTCCTTATTTATTACTGTCCACCTCCCCCACTGAAACATCAGCTCTGTGAGGCAGAGCACTTCCTTTTGTTCACAGGTGATACTGCACCCATGTGTCGGTGTATGTGCCGTTTGGGTCCCCAAGAAGTGGGACCCTCGAGGGCACTGCGCATGCGCCGTGCCGGAGTGCGGGTGCCACGTGCCTCCACTGGGCATGCTTACCGCGTGGATCTCGGGGGCGGGGCAGGTGCCAGCCATGGGCTGCAGAGGCCCCCGCAGGCGGCAGCCATCACTCCACATGCACAGGTGACCCAGGTCTTCGCGGCCCAGGCACTGGGAACAGTCGGGGCTGCCCATGGCACAGTTATAGACCATGACTGGGGAGACACGGGGCAGCTCGGTCAGCCCCGCTCTGCGGTGCATGCCCCAACACCGCTGTGCCCTCCACACACAACAACTGTCAAGAGGTCTGCGCCCCATCATTGTGGTGCCCCACCCAGAGGAAGTCCTGATTCTGGGGGTCAGGATCCCCTGAGGTTCTTAGCCCCTTCCCCAAACCCCTGGGGCCTGTGCTGAGCACAGTGCAGCCCCTGCTTCATTGATTTCCTTCCCCTCACAGAGACTCCAGCTGGGAGCCTCAGGTCAGCCTCACTTTACAGAGAAGAGGCTGACGCTCAGACAGGAGGGACTCGCCTGAGCTCACGAGGCCTGTGGGTGGTAAAGCCAGATCCCACCCAGACCTCAGTGGGTCTGATCAACCCCGGCGGGGCCCTAGGATGCTGGGGATCCCTGAGTAATGTGGACTATGAGTACTTTGGGGCTTCAAACCCTCCAAGTAGCCCAAAGAGGAGGGCAGGGAGGGTTCTCCAGGACCTTGGGTATGCAGGGCCGTTCTGGGACCTTCATGGTGGGAATCTGGAGGGCACCACGTCCACCAGGGATGCCTGAGACTCCCCATGAACAGAGGAGCCCCTGGAGAGTGGACCCAACACAGACAGTCACAGCAACTGCACAGCTGCCACGCGAGGGGAGCTGACCACACCCCAGATGCCACGCTCAAGGTTGGGCGAGCCCTGGCTCATCAGGTCCTTACAAGCTCTGCAGAGGGACTGTGTCCTGTTTCCTATGGGGACGATCAGGCCCAGGAAGGCAGGGGAAACTATGCACGGAGACCCCAAGGCCTGGAGCCTGGCATGGCATGGCAGGGCTGGGATATGAGGCTGTGTGTGTGCTGGAGAACAATGGGGTGGGACATCTGCGGCTTTGGGGCAACCACTGGAATGAGTCGCACAAGGCTGAGCCCCACCCACTGCACTGAGGCCCCGAGGCCATGTGGGGCGGGTGGGGGTGCCCACCTGTCATGGGCTCAGGGCTGTCCAGGAATCGGGCTGGCCGCCCCTTTAGTTGGAGGCTGAGCGGGAACACCTGGCTCTTCCGGGTCGTGTGCAGCTGCAAAAGGGCAGAAAAGAGCATAGGGGGCATGGGCAATGCCTGGGGCTCTGCTGGGGATGGGTGTCATGGAGGCAGATGAAGTTGGGGCTGCTGGGGATGGGGGAACCAGAAGGTAGAGAGAGGCAGGGTGGGGTGAGGGGTACAGCATCTGGACTTAACGCAGGCCCGCCCTCCGCCCATGCTGGAGTCACCCCACTCACCACCACCTGGTCACAGCGTACAACAGACTCATTCACCCACACAGCCTCGAAGATCTCCTCCAGCCCAAAACTACACTCCAGGGCTGCACCCTGTGGGAAACAGGGAGTGGGAGGCGGGTTTGAGGAGAACCAAGCCAGCATGCATTGCCCTCTAACTCCAGCAGGACACCACGGGCTCCTGCTGGGAAAGGTGGGCTTGGTCGAACTGTCAGGCCTTTGCATGGGCTGTCCCGTCCCCCAAAATCCCCTTCCTGGCCATCACGTCCAATGTTTGAGGGAGGCAAGCAGTGCAGGAATGCCAAGAACTTTGGCCTCATGCGCTCAGCACCACTAAAAGCCTCTCCAGCATCCCCAGTGATCTAACCCAGGGGCCTTGTATTCAGCTCCTAAGGCTCCACTCCCAGCGGGGTTCCCCTGCTCTTCGAGCCTTCCCACCTCCCATCCTGCCCTACCAGGCCCTGCTCAGACGTGCCCCAACGCCCAACACGGCCAGACTCTCCTGCCCCGGCCTTTGCCTGAGCCCTCCCCTCGCCTGAACACCTGTCTTCCTTTCTACCACCCAGCAAAGCTCAACACAGCCTTCAGGATCCAGCTTAAAAGCCCCCTGTTCTGAAGCCTTCCCAGATGCTGCCCTCAAATCAAAGGGGTGTGCCTCACTTGATCCTCATTCATTCCCTCAGCAGCAACTATTCAGGTGTCTGCTGGGGCACTACGAAGCTCCTAGAGCTGCCCCCATCCCTGTGTGCCAGGCATCACCCTTAGCCTCTTGCCTGGCTGCTTACCTGTCCCCTCGCCAACCGGGGACGGTCAGGGCTCGGCCGCTCTGACACCACCCCCAAGGGCAGCAGAAAGCAGCTGGAAGAGCCCTGGCCTGGGTTCAAACCCCACCTCTGCATGTCCCAGCTATGTGACCTCATGCAAGTTGACCCCTTCTCTGAGGCTTGGTTTTCCTACCTGGACAATGGGAATAGGGTTGCTGGGAAAACTGGAGATTGTGTACCTCAAGGGGCCGCACACGGTAGGGGCCTAATATGTGCTTGCTATCATTAGTATGCAGGAGGTATCCAATAATGTTTGTGTCATGAGGCTCAGTTCCCCAGGCTCATCTGGCCTTCTCAGGAGCAGCACCAATACATATTTGCTGAGTAAACAGACTCAGGTTTTGTGTATTACGCCAAGCACCCAGCCAGCTGCGTGGCAGAGCTTCCTGTTTATGTCCCTGTGGCTGGCAGATGTGACACCCTGAGGAGAATGCAGGTCAACCTCCCTGCTTCTGGGGTCCCAGCCCGGAAGCTAACACAGGAAAGTGGCTGCTGACGGGGCCAAAAGCCCGTTTTGTCCCCTGCCATGCTGAGCTGGAGATGGGTCCCTCCTCTTAGTCCTCAGCCACCTCAGAACAGCACACCCGGCCCGTCCCAGAGCTCCCCAGGGTGTAGGCTCAGCAAACAGGCCCCCACCGCTGGGCCTGACTTCAGTGTTCTAGGAGCAGGCCCTGGGGAGCAGGAGGGCAGGCGCCCCTGCAGCTCGGTCAGAGTGGAGGCTGCCCCACCACACAGCTGGGAAGAATCGGCAGGACTCAAGTCAGGCTCACACCTCCCCATCCCAGGCGCCCACGGCCCAGGGGCAGAGCCATCCTGCCCACCCACCCAGCCCCCTGGCTGATCCTGGAGGCGCTTGCCCCAACTCCTGCAGGGTGGGGCTTGAGGGCTGAGGGCAGGCCCCACCCTAGCCCTCCCAGAGCTCCAGCCCCTGCCACGAGGCTTCCCGACACATCCCAGATGCCCGGCACGTGGCCACCACGTGTGACAGCTCTCACGGGCCTCAGCTCCTCCATGGAAGTAACAGATGGCGAGTTCCAGGGAGGTGGGGAGGGGGGTGGCTGGCACGCCTCCAGGACTCGTCAACGCTTCCCACCCAGGACGCGCCTCCAGGAGGGGTCCAGAAAGGAGCTGCGTCCCCAACCCCCAGCCCAGATGGTGGGGGCGGGGCTAGTTGCAAAGACGAGCACTGGTTGGGGAGTCCAGAGCTAAGCACAAGTCCAGCCCTGTGTTGTGTGATCTGGCGTCATCTACTTTTCCTTCCTGGGCCTCATCTTCCCCATCTGGACAATGGGGAATGGGGTGGCCAAGGGGTTCTCTGGTCATTCTGCAGGGAAGACATGGAAGCCACCCACGGGGCAGTGGGCTCGGCGGTGGGTGGGTGTGTCCAGGGTCACAGCTCAGGCTAAGGGAGGACAGGATAGGGCAGCGTCCACCCTCCGGCTGTGGCACGGGGCAGGAGAGCCTGGGGGCACTGGCTTTCCCTTGGCAGCTGTTGGCCCCCAGCTGTCCCCCTTGGCCTGGCCCTCACCACTTCCTCTTCTTGCAGCCCCGTGCAGTCAGAGTGGGGCTTCCTCATGCAGAAGGTGGAAACTCAGAGAAAGAAAAGCAAAGCCCACACAGGTGCGAAAGCACTGCAGTGGGCCCAGAGCAGGGGTCACACCAGGACATGGGGGCAGTTAGTGGCCTGCGTGCTCCCCGGCCTCCTCCTGGCCCCACCCGGCGCTGGCCTGGCTTCTACTTACCTGGAAAAAGGCAGTGTTGGCCAGAGGCACCAGGATGTTCTGGGAGCCACCCGTAGGCACGGGTGCCAGGGGTGAGAGCAGGGTCCGGGGGCAGTCCTGAGGGCTCTGCAGAGGAAACAGAAGGAGAGGGTGACACAGGGGCATTTCAGAGAAGAGGCAGGAGGACTCACTGCACCCCAGCCTGCCTGGTTCAGTCCTGCCTTCCTGAGGAGAAAACACTAGTCATTCAGTCCTAACGGCCACCAGCCCCACCCCGTGCCTCCCACTCGCCACCACCCTCCATCCTATGGGCAGGTCGCATTGGCCCTGTTTAAAGATGAGGAAGGTGGGCACAGGCAGATGGCATAACCCGCCCAGTGGTGGGGCCAATTTCCTCCATGAGTGCTCCCTGGCCTCAGACGAGGCTGGGAGGCTGAACTCCAGGCCCAGCTCCTCCCTGTCTCTGGGCCTCACCTTTCCCAATAGTAGAACAGGGGGGCTGCACCCACTCCCTGAGATGCCCCCAGGGCTGAAACTCCAGCTTCCTGACTGACCCGTGTTAAGCGATTCAGAAAAGAGAAACCTTGGGCTTCCAAACAGCCCATAGGAAAGGCACAGGGAGGGCTCTGAATACCAGGAGGACATTTCAGAGGGCCAGATACCACCGGTCTCCAGGGGACACCCCTCCCCACAGCCCGGGTATAAGTCACAGCCTCTAGGTGAAGGTGCCAGCCCCAGATACTCCCAGGAAGGGCCCCGGGCTCATGGGGGGACAGCACATGGTTGGCTCTTGTTTGGTGGTGGAGTCACTGAGGCCTGGCAGAGCAGCTGCTTCATGGAACGAAAGAAGGAGGGAGGAGGGAGGGAAGGAAAGAAGGAAGGAGGGATGAAGGATGGAAGGGAGGGAGGGGAGATTGAGCCTCCAAGAGCAGTGAGCTGCCTGAGGGCGGAGGACAGGGCTGGCCCCTGAAGCCCCAGGTGTCTTGACTCTGGGGTCCTCCGAGCTGGGGCGCGTGTTAAGATGCAGAGGTCTAGCCCCGCTGCAGGGATTCAAGGCCTGGTTGGGAACTGCTGTCTCCAGGCTCCTGGGATCCATGCTCCACTGTACAGAATAAGAAACTGAGGCCTGGGGGAGGGGCAGAGACCAGAGGCAGGGCTGTTCCCGCCATGTCCACCTTAGTGATCGCTCTGAGCTGGGAGGTATGGACCCCCCAACCTGCCCTGTGTTCTCCAGCTTTGGTGGCCCCAGTGAGCCATTCCTGCCTCCTCCTGCTCCCGAATCTGACCTGCTGGGACCATGAGCAGGGCAGGACTGGGGACCTTGGAGCAGCCACACCCATGCCAAGGGGACTACAACCACCCTTCAGCTCAGGGACTTCCTACTCTGCCCTCCTTCCCAAGGCTGGTTGCAGAAGGATCTGGGTTAGAATCAGGCCAGAAAGCAAAAGCGTCCATGGGCCACGTGTGTCCACGTGAGGTCACCCAGCCAGGCCAAAGGCCTTGGGACAAAATATGAGACGCTTCTTTATTCTACACCAGATGAGAGCAGGACAGGGACTGATTCCCCTCAGGGACCCCAGCCCAAAACCGGACCTCGAGGGGATGCCAATGCCAACAACAAGAACTGATGACGATAATGCTAATAACAGTGGCAGTCACCAGCTCATCTAGCCCTCCCTCTGCTGGGACCGTTCTGAGCACTTTGCACTCTTTTAATTTACCAAATTCTACTCCCAACAACCCTAGGAGGTAGATACTATCATTACACCCACTTTACAGAATAGGAAACTGAGGCACACAGAAGCAAAGCAGTTTGCCTACAGTGGAATGAGCAACACAGGAAGGCTCCAGTTGTCCAGACCATTTGCTGACCACGAGACCAGAGTGGTGAGTTCCCCTAGGGACAGGGTCTGGTGCAGACCTCAGGGGCTTGGCAAGAGAAGCAGCATAGCCAGGCCCGGGTGCTGCTGGCTCCCTGTGCCAGAATACACGAGCCACTGACCCTCTCCGGGCCTCCGTGTTCCTACCAAGGAGGGGCCCAGACGGAGTCAGCGGCGGGCCCCCTGCAGACCGCAGGCTGCCATCCTGTGCTGTGTGTAAACCCCACGGAATCCGAGGGCATGGAATCCATGTTTCCACTCAGGCCTCGAAGCCACTGCCAGGTCTGCTTTGCGGCTGGCTGGGGCCCAGCCTCTGTCCTCCTGGCCCCAGCCCACCCGGTGGGTAGGTGTTGATGTGGGGCTGAGGTGTGAGAGTCAGGGCAGGAGGCGCTCTCACAAGAGGGCCCCCACAGTGAATGATGTGTGACCATCCCCGAGGGCCACCCCACTCCCCTTAGCCACTTGTAACCTGTGGCCAGGTGGATGCTCACCCCCATTCTAGAGAACCGAGGCTGGAGGAGTCCTCGTGGCTCTCACAGGGCCTCTCCTAAACTCCAGGGGAAGAACTGGTGTCCCAAACCATCAAGGCACTCAACAACCCAGGGACCCTGAATCCACCTGGTCCCTCCCTACGTCTCTGTACCCCCAGGGACCCCCACAATTGCCCCCATGTTCCTACCACCCCACTCTCTCCACTGGCCCGTAGTGACCACCTACACCTATGAGTGGTCCTTGGGAAGCCACCCCCAGGGAAGCTACCTCATCCCTCAGGCACCTGCAAACGGGGCACACATCCACCTTCCTCCCAGCCTCCCCTAAAGCTGAAGCCCTCCTTCCAGCATCCTCCACTTTGCACATCTTTCACGCGGGGACCATGAGGGACAATGGGAACGTGACAGGAGACTCAGGCCCTAGCACCTCCCTTCCCAGGGACACTTCTCCCGGCTCCCGAGGGGCCACGTGGTGTGCAGATCCCGCTGCCTGCTGCCTGCTGTTCACACAGAGACCACGGCACCACTACGACTAACTGGCACTTCATTAAATGCCAAATTAAACATCAGTTCAGAGCCTCCTGCACGCCCGGGGCAGAGCTGCCTCTTCGGCTAGTTACTGTAATTCTCAGACAGGCTTCCTCTGTGCCTCCACCCCAGCTCCTGGCCTGAAGAACTGCAGACCTGGGGGACAGCCATCTGACAGGACGCTGCCATGGAACTCCCTCCCAGCTGGTGAGCTCCTATGCATCTCTCAAGACCCAGCACGAAGGTCCCCTCTCAAGAGAAATCCTCTCTCTGAAATCCTCTCTCTGAAATCCTCACTCTGGCCCACCCACAGAGAGTGGCCATCAGTTCCCAAGGTGCATGGTGGCTTTGTAGTGAGCATCTACTATGTGCCAAGTATAGAGTTGGTATCTTACGGGCATAATTCCAGATCCCCACCAAACCCTTCAGGCAGGTCCCATTTTATAGATGGGGAAACAGAGGCACAGAGAGATTCAGTAGCTTCCCTAAGATCATACAGCCACAGCTCACACCTGAGGCTCTTGGCTCGTGATGGCAGGACTAGTCCAACTCGGTTCTTTCCCAGGGCCCAGTACTGACTAAGGCATACAGCAGGCACTCAATAAATGCTGAACGGACTGTGACGAGGCTGGGTCCTCCTCGCATCCCCTAGGTTAGCGCACAAGAAGCAGGCTGCTGCCCAGTGTGATGCTTCCCACCACCATAACCGAGCCCCTGCTGTGTACACAACCCTGGGCTGGGAGCTGGAAGGAAGAGACGTGATTGAGATGGGGTCCCCAGACAGGAGCAGGAGTCCTAGTGGGGTCCCAACTGTGGAATCTGGGGGTCCAGGAGCAGCTCAGGGCTCCCGTATGGTTTCACTGCACCGACTCCACTGGGCTCTCCTCCAGTGCTGGAAGCCCCCTGCTGCCAAGCCCCTCTTCGAATAGAATTAAGCATGGCCCCTGCCAGGCTCTTCTTCAAAGCAGTTATGGGGCTCAGGTGGGAGGTGCTGCGCACTGCGAGCGAGCAGGGGATTCCAGGCTGAGGCCATGGGGCCCCCTCCTTAGCAACTGCCGGGGTAGACAGGGCTTCAGGGATTCCTGAGAAGATTCTCTGAGCTCAGTGCAAAAAGGCTGGGGCTGCAGAGGCTCTGGGCGCTGGGGCTGCTTCCCCGGGATGTGTGCCCAGAAAGGGGCCCCAGTGACCTTCTGCAGGGAGCCAGGGCACCAGGTGCCATGCTGGTTATCTCAGTTGTGCCATCTGGAATATGGGCAGGACCAGCCTTTGCCTGGAGAGATGAGCTGCAGGAAGGCTGGTGCCCTACCCCAGCCACCCACAGCCCTGATACGCGCCAGGTCTGAGAGGGGACGAGCTGTGATCTCAGGACCCTGGCACATCCCACCTGGCTAGGCCTTATCACCCCAGCCAAGGTCCCAGGCATCCCATTTGGCCATCCTGGCACGGGCTGCGGTGGCCTTAGAGGCTTCCTGGGCAAAGGTGAGAGGCCACCTGGAAAGTGAACAAGTCTCAGAAACCAACCAGGGGCGAGGTATGTGGCATGTCCATTTTTACTTTATCTTTACACTAAAAAGCCTAGATTGATCCATTTTTACATTTCCTCCTCTTGCTCCCACCCCATTTAGTTGATTAAACCCAACCACCATGCAGTGCTGGGGCAGGCCTGGCCCCTGACAAGCATGGAGTCAGACTGCAGGGTCCTAGGGACTGACATGAGGACCTGGGAGCGTGTGGTTTCTGAGGCCAGCCCATCCTCCCTGTCCAGGGACAGCTGCAGCACCACCCACCCTTGGGACGCCACTGCTCGTGCAGAAACCCAGGCAGGGCCCTTTCCACCCAGTTCCTGATTTTCACAGGAGGGGAGAATATGGGCTCCAGGGGCAGAGGGACTTGGGTTAAGGCCCAAGTCTGGTACTGCCTGAGTCGATGACCTTAAGCGAATCACCTCCACAGGCCTTGAGGACAAATGCCCTGAACACCTAGGGTTGTTGAAATGGTCTTCCTACTGCAGTGGGGGTATAAACTGGCTCAGGCTTTCTGGAAGGCAGCTGAGCTCAAGGTGTAGAACTATGGCCACACTACCAGCCCAACAGGTCATTTCTAAGAAGCGGTCTTCAGGGAATCATCAAGGATATGCATAGTGCCCTGGCTATATCAAAATGCAAAAAAGAGGAAATAATTAGTATGTCCAACTATAGGGCATGGGTTAAACGCACCGTGGTATGTGATGAGCCCCATATAGCTGTCAAAGCCAAAGCTAAGGCGGAATATGCAAAGGCATTGAAACATTCTCAACATGTGAATTTTTTAAAAAAGGTAATGAAACAGCAGAGGCGGAGGGGCCCCCTAGCCTGGCTTACCGTGGGGTTTGGTGAGGCCTCGCACCGAGACTGGTTGGAAACACAGGAGTGCTGCTGGCTGCACCAGAAACAGGGCCACTGTGCCGACAGGCAGCTGGTACAGCTGGAAGACAAGGAGGCCCCTCAACTCCTGGTTCCCCACCCCTCAACTCATCCCTGTCCCAGGAACTAGAACCCAAAAGGCAGATCCCAGCACAGGGAAAGGTCTTTCTCATCATCGGGGCTGCCTGGGAAAGATTGGGTCTTTAAGGTAGTGAGCTGCCTGCTAACAAGAGGTATACAAATAGGAGTTAAAAGAGACAGGGCCTTTAGAAGACTAAACTGAGTATAATCAAAGCACTTTGCCCCGTCCCACCTGGCTGTCCACAGAGGCCAGGCATCAGGCAGTATGCATTTATTGTAGAATGAATAAATGTGCTGGTGAATGAACAACTGAAGGGCCTGTCTACCTCTACGATGCTATGATTTTTCTTCTCAGGGCCCCCTGAAAGCAAAGACCCTTCCCGGGGATGCGTTCCTCCCTCCACCAACTGGAGGCAAGCCACCCAAGCCACTCACGCTGTGTGGGGGTACACTTGTGCAGTGCGGCTGCAGTCGTAGATGGTGAAATTGGCCTTGACGATGTTCCGCCCATTGACCCTCACAGACATCTCAACAGTCACGTGGTCTGGAATGGATGGGGGAGCCAGGGGAGGACATGGGGGCAGGGGATTGCCACCAACATCAGAAGCTGTGACCTCTGGCCCCCTGCCATCCCCATGCCTGACAGTCCACCGTTCTGCCCCTCTGGGGCTGTGCCAACAGCACAGCGTGCTTACCCTGGTTGGGGGGGAAGGGCGGAAACTGGTCCCTCGGCAGGAGGTTGCAGTAGGCAATCTGGTGACCAAAGGCAGGGCCTGGGACCCGAGCCACAGTGCGGATGTTGTTCCCATAGTCACAGGCCATCTCCATGCCACTGAGGCTGGGCAGGCTGCCCGAGATCTGCAGGATCATGCCCTGGGGGCAAGGAGCCCTCAGCTCTGGGGGTCCAGGCTATGCTCCTCACAGCCTGCCCCAGGGCTGTGCACCAACCCAAGGTCTGGCACTGCCTGAATGTCCCCTGGGGGAAGGGGTAGTGGTGGCCAGGACTCAGGGCCAGAGGGCTATGCCCTACATGTGACCCTCTGAGCCTCAGTTTCCCCAGCTGCAAAATGAAACATCATCTTACAGTGGTCAAGAAGGCTCTGCATGATCTGGCCCCTGTGACCTCTGACCCCATCCCCTAATACTCTCCGAAACAGCTGATCTTGTTTCTACCTCAGGGCCTTTGCACTGGCAGTTCCCTCCACCCAGACGCTCTTTCCAGATGCTCACCCTGGCTCCCCTCCTGCATATCTTACCTGACCTGGCCTGAGATGTCTGCACCCACAACCCGCTCCCCACCCCTGTTCTGCTTTCATTTTCTCCACAGTACTTAGCATCACCTTCAGGTTTTATCTTGCCTATTCTCCTCCCCCATGAGCCTGGGGCCAGGGGTCTGTCTTGATTACTGATGTGTCCCCAGAGTCCAGAACTGTGCTTGGCACATAGTACGTGTTCCATAATATTTGTCCAATAAATGAAATGACTGAATGAATGAGGGAAGGACTCTGTGATGTGTGATAACGGCAGGGCAGGGCAGAGGAGCCCCAGATGCTGAGCAGCTACAGGCCAGAGCCGGGCTGTCAGAGCCCCCCAGGGTGAGAGAAGAGGACCCTCATCCTCAGAGAAGTCACTGAGAGCCAGATGCATGAACCCCAGGCCTGTCTGACCCTCGGCTCCCACCCCTTGCCGGGGCCCAGAATCCCCCACCGCCAAGGCTGCCTGCCAGAGCCCTCCTGGCACAAGCCGGGGGAGACCCAGCCCCCTGCATTGCAGGTTTATCTGTTTCTGAGAAGGAGAAATTTCAGTCTGGCACCTGGTGGTCCCTCCCTCCATCCCCTGTTCTGGGAAAAGGTGGGTGGAACTCACTGTCCTCCAAGCCTCCAACTTGTACCCTCCCTCCTGGGTCTCTAGAACCCGCCTCTTGAGTTTAGATTCCAGCTCTACCACTCCCTAGCTGTGCGACCTGCAGCAAGTCGTTTCACCACTTGGTGCCTCAGTTTCCCCATCTGTAAAATGAGGATGTCAAAAGCATCTGCTTCATAGGGTGTGTAAGGCCTAACGGAGGTGGACGTCAAGCACAGAGCACGTGCCTGGCACTTACTAGTTGGTCAGGAAAGCCCAGTCATTGTCACTGTTCTCATTATTTGTCTTCAGGTCCTTGGGGCACCATGGGTGGGAGTCTCCACCTCTCGGGGCCTGGGTGCTGGGTGAAGGGAGGCTCCCCTGTGTCCCGAGCTGGGTCTTGCCTCCCCCAGGACTCACTGGGTACTCCTGGCGCACATCGATCTCGGAAGGCAGGACGGTCATGGCAGGACAGCGGCTGGGGCCCTCGCTGGCACTGGTCCAGAAATGCTGCTGGCTGGAATTGGTGCAGTCCTGCTGCAAGGTGCACCTGGGGTGGCACCGCAGGGTCAGGACCCAGGTCAGCTCCTCCCACCCCCACAGCCCTCCTGGTCCAGCTGTTGCTGGTGTCCAGCCTCACCGCGTCTCCAGGGCACACCAGCCGCAGTAGGCGTCCGCCGCACCCACGCAGTCCCCACAGGTGGAGTGCACGTTGCAGGCGGCGACCTTCACCCTGGCCATCTGGGGGCAGAGGTGGGGGCCCAGCTCAATGGGACTGCCAGCCTCTCCCTTGGGGAGGTGGTACGGTCAGCATGGTGCGGGCCATGAGAGGCTGGGGAAACTGAGGGTCAACACTCTAATGGGGGAACATGGGAGACAAGGCTTCCCTGCAGAGGCAAGGTCGGTGTTGGGAGGCGCAGGACAAGGTGGAGTTAGCAGATAAGGGAGATGGAGGAGGAGGGTGCTCCCAGCAGAGGAACAGCGTGTGTAAAGGCCAGGCAAGCAAGAGGGCTCGGCTGGTGCTGGGATGGCGTTGGGCTGGGGCTCTGGCCTCACCTGGTGGGACGTCATCAGGTAAAGGTAACCGGAGTCTGCTGGGTCAAACTGCATGACATGGTGCACGGGCTCCCCATAGGCCACAGTCACCACCCGCCTGCTCACCACCTGCATGCTCTCGTTCAGGTTGATCTGTGGGGGTAGTGGGCATCAGGGTGCTGGAGCCCATAGCAGGGGAGGCCAAACCCAGGGGACAACCTGAGCCCGGGTCTGGGGGCTCTGCCTCCCCATCCTGTCTTGGACCCTTCAGGAGGGGTGGGAAGTCACGGGCGTGCAGGGGAGGGCACAGGGCCGGGCCTTGATGCTTCTGCCTCTGCTGTGCCCCCACCAGGAGCTCCTTCTGGGCTCGTCTCCAAGGCATCCCGCCCTGTGAACGTGTGCAGGCTTTGTAGTTTACGAAACGTGCTCTGGGAGGCTGTTAGGCACCATGGCTAAGGGCAGGGGCTTGGGTTTGGATTCTGGCTTTGACACTGAGGAGCTCTACAATGTGTAAGTTGTACAAGCTGCCTCCCCTCTCTGAGCCTGTTTCCTGAGCTAATGGGGCAGGCGGGCCATGAGCATTAAATAAGACACAGGCCAGGCTGATGGGGTCAGGCCCGGGGAAGCTGCTAGGCTGCACGTCTCATTCCTCCCCCCGACGCCCATTTCACCGAAGAGGAATCTGAGGCTGGGAGCGGCCGAGGGAGTTGGCAAGAGGCACAAAGTGAAGAGATCACAAGGCTACAATGCAATACCAGGCCTGCCTGACCCCACAGTCCAAGGCTTAAGGCTAGGGGTGTGGAACCAAGGTGCAGGGAGGAGGAAGACCAGGATTATCTGGGGCCTGGAAGCTTCTCTGGCTCTGAGGGACCCTCTGCGTGTCCTCCTGAGGATGACAATACCGGTCAGAGCCCCACCAAACTCTGCTCTTTTTTGCCTGGCCCTGCCTGTTCCCAGTGTGTTGTCTTGTCTGGGCCCTGCCAGGCCCCAGGCTGGGCATTTTGAGATGGGGCCAGTGGTCCGGACACCTCCCAGGCCAGTTTCTGCCCCAGCCTTCCTCCTGGGGCTCCCAAACCCTTCATGGCTCCCTTCTGCTTATGGAATGAACCTGTTCTGGCACTCAAGGTCCTGGTGATCTAACCCGGACAACCCCAGCTTTATCTCCACCCCCTCAACCCTGCTCACACATTCCAGCCTCCAGGCATTTGCCTATGCTGTGCTCTCCTCTGGAATATTCCTTCCTGTTCCCCTTCTACCAATGCACACATGAGGCCCAGAAGCCTCTACACACCAACTCAAAATTACCTTCTCCCCAGGCTTCCATGGGCTTTGTCCCAGCCTGAGACACTCCTGTCCCACGTGGCCTCTTGGCGGAGCCTTGCAGGGGCTCAGGCCACTGCCCGCACCCACCCCTATGTCCAGGCGTCCAGTGGACACTCAAGTCATTTCCACTCCTTCAATCATTTATTGAGCAACTACTGTGCCCCAGGGCCTGTGCTGGGTGTGGCGATTTAAGGCCCGAGCAGGGCAGGGTTGGCTGGAGACAGAGGCCACACTGTGCAGGGTGGTAGGTGAGGGGCTCCAGGCTGTGGCGGGGTGTGGGCTATGGGCCAGCTCCTGCTGTGCGACTCTGGGGCAATCATTTCCCCTCTCAGAGCCTCAACGTTCTCATCTGTGGCATGAGAATCGTGCCTCTGCCTCCCTTGCAGGGGTGTGAGAATTAAGTGAGAGGATGCCCTTTAGGCTCTGGGTAGACAGTAGGCGCCTAACAACTGCAGCCTCATGGGTGTCGGGGGTGGGGGAGGGGCCTGGCTCATGTTCCCAAGCCAGGACACTGAGGCTCGCAGGGGAGAAGAAACTGGCCCCAAGTCACCAAGCTGGAAGCAGCAGAGCCAGACTCCGAATGTGAGTATCTGACCCCAAACCACGAGCCCCATTGACGAGCCCCACATTTTTCCTCTCCCCAGCCACAGCGGTGGGGTCCTGGGACTCCACTCCCCACGCCCACCCAGCCCACAGCGTCTGCCCAGGCAGTGGGTTGGGGGGGACTTGGGTGATCAGATCTGAGCAGTTAGGCCGGGCCTGGTGCATGAATAGAGTGGTGGCGCTTAGCTTAGTCTCCCAAGAGGGAGCAGGAGAGATGGCTGGGTTGGGGGCAGGTCCAGGGCTGCACCTGGGGGTCTGGCCCAGGCTCCGCCATGTCTGTCCTGCCCCAGAGCAGGGAAACTGGATTCTGCGCATCTCCTCCCAGCTCCAGGAATCTCGGGGCCACGGGCTGGGGTACAGTTAACTCTAGACACCAGTCACCCTGGGACGGGGTGGCTGGCAGGGCTGGGGAGGAGAAATGAATGAGCATTCCTGCTCACCAGGCCATGGCCTTACCCTGCCAAAGCCCCACAACAGCTTACAGCCCTTGACAGGGAAACTGAGGCCTGGAGAGAGAATATGTGTTGCCCAAGGTCAAAGGGCCAGCAAATGGCAGAGCCCAGACATTTGAACTCAGAGCCATACAGTTTCAAAGCCCCAGTCCTAGAGCCTCTGAGAGAATCACCCTCTCTGAGCCCTGGTTTCCCTCCTCTGTATGGACGCCACCTATATTATGAGCAATAGTGGCAAAAACAGACTTGCAAAATACTTTGTAAACTGTAAAGTGCTAGGCGAATGGGAGAAAACAAAGGGTCAGGCTGGACCTGTAGCAGCCCTGTGTACAGACTGACCCCCTCAGCCAACTCCCAGGGGAGCCTCCCACCCCCACCCCCTCCCCACATCCCCAACCATACCTACCTTGAGAAGCCTCCCGTTGACCGTGCCCAGGAAGACCGCTGTGTAGTTGTTGACGCTGGCCACGGCCACGGAGGTGAGGCCCGGGGCGCGGAACACGGGCGTGGCCTTCAGGGGCTGCAGGATGGACAGCGGGTGCTGCAGGTGAGCAGCTCCACAGTCCAGCTGCTCTGGCTGGAGCTGGAAGAGGAACGGCACGTCAGATCCCAGCTCCAGAACCTTCTCCGGCTCCCCGCCCGCACAGCTGGCTGGGATCTCAGGCCCTGGCATCAGAGCTTTCAAGTCTTGTTCCTACTTTATATCCTCAGTGCTCAGCTGAGGCCCAAACACAAACGGGACCCCATCCCCAAGCCCAGGCCTGCCCTGACCTCAGTGTTGGTTACAGAGCTGTTCCAAGGAGATGATGTTCAAGGTACACGGGAACCAGCAGGCGAGGGAACAAGGTCAGGTTTGATTTTAAAGAGTCCAGGGAGGCCGGCCAGGGTGAGAGCTACACCCGCACCCCCTTGGGGCTGCCCCTCCTGGCTGGGCACAGCTGGGAAGAGCAGAGGAGTCCACACCAGATGACCGGAGGCCACCGTCAGCCTCAGCTTAACCCGCTGGCACCCAAGAGGTGTCCCTCTTGCCTCGGCTGTTTTCCTACAGCCCCGGCTGGCTCTGCGTCTCCACAGCAACCATGGGCTTTCCTCCTGCCGGGTGTCTGCTCTGACCCTAGGACCACCACCCCAAAGCCCCAGCAGCTTGCAAGACTCCAGGTGGAGGCCTCCCTAAACCGCAGCCTTTCTTTCCCTCCCCAAGCACCTATCCCCTCATCTGCCCACATTACAGGGGGACAAACAGGCTGGGTGTGTCTGAATGCACAGTCCCATGTCCACAACAGCCCAGCATCACCCATGCCCTCCAGCAGCAAATCAGCTGCGGCTCACAGGGCAGCTGTGAGAGGTGATCCCATGTCCGGGCTGTTCCCTGAACTTGCTCCTACCTTCCCTCCCTTCTCCTGGGTCTTGGTATGTTCAAAGGTTCCTGGTGCAATTTGCACAAAAATAGAAAACAGGCCTCCAGGAAGTGACCCTGAGACAATAACTGTGCAACTCCGCAAAGACGCAGGCACAAGGGTGGTGCAGAGGAGTGAAAAGGGGACACACACATGTGTCGGATGGGACTGAGTGCGTCCATCATGGCTTATCATCCAGGAGAGCAGCCCCCATCCCGCAGTGACGCCATAAGCCCACACTGATTACAAGAAAAGTCACAGGATGTCATGGGCCCATTTTGGTAAAACTGGTGCATAAACAATAAATAGTCACAACAGTAAACATAATAACAGGCCACATTTACTGGGAACTGACACTGTACCAGGCCAGTGCACTGACTCCCAGAATCCTGGCAGCCCTAGGGGTCCTATCTCACAGATGGGGAAACTGAGGCTCAGAGGGGAAAATGGCTAACTACAATGTCACGCCCCCAGGGCTGACCCAGGTAGCAGACTTGAGCCCATGCCTCAGCTGCATTTGGACATCAGAGGCTCAGAGCAGGACTCAGGGAGGTCACCGGAAGGCAGCATTGGAACCATCTTTAGGGCAAAGCTTTAAAGATTTTTCTTTTTAAATTTCTTGTCTGTGCTTTTTGCAAGCTTAAGCCACTGATGATGTGCCTGCCTGGTTTTTGCACAGGCTCAGCTAGTTTTCAAAAGAAAGCAATAAATAGTGGGTCCTTCTGTGCTTGGGCAAATAAACACAGTTACGGCCGGATGGGCTTCTAGGCTGGGGCTGTTTCCAGCATGTCCCTGGGGGCCAAGCCCTGAGCCCAGAGGTGTGATGGGCTGGGGATGCCCTGGACCAACATACAGGAGGGAATGGTCTTCCGGAGGATGACGGCGGGTGACCCAGGCAAGGCACTTCGCCTCTGAGCCTCATTTTACTCAACTATAAAATGGGTATATCCATAGTGTTTTCCGCATAGAGGCTGGGATGAATCATTTGTTTTAAAGTGTTCCCAAACGCCGGGCGTGGTGGCACGTGCCTGTAGTTCCCAGCTACTTGGGAGGCTGAGGCTGGAGGATCACTTGAGTCCAGGAGTTCTAGGCTGTAGTGTGCTATGCTGATCGGGTGTCCACACTAAGTTCAGCATCAATATGGTGACCTCCCGGGAGCGGGGGACCACCAGGTTGCCTAAGGAGGGGTGAACTGGCCCAGGTCGGAAACGGAGCAGGTTAAAGTGTTCATACAGTACCTGGCCCACAGTAAGTGTCCAGGAAGTGTTAGCCGATACTATTGTGTTTCAGACATGACTGCTGCTTATGTTATTATTATGAAGTAAAAGTTACCCATGTTCAACTGCTGATCAAAAAAGAAAGAAAGAAAATTCAGGGCAAATCATGCCTACCTTAAAGCTTTTGAGCAGCCATCCTCTCACCTGGACAGCCCTCCCAGCCCTCTTCATTTTCCAAGACCACTCTTGCCCCCTACACTGACATTTCCTATCTGCTAACACAGCTGCCAAATGAGCCCTTTAAAAATGTAAAGCAGGTCTCCCCCGATTCAAGCCCTCCCATGGTTTCCAGGACACTCAGAATAAATCCTGAATCCTAAATCCTCCCGTGGGTCCCCTCATCTTCTAACTCCATTTCACACCTCCCTTGCCCTTGCTCCTTCACCCCAGCCACACTGGCCTCATTTCTGTGCCTCAAATATCACAAGCTCGTTCCTGCCTCAGGACCTCTGGCCTGGCCGCTCCCTCTGCCCAGGAAGCCATTCCCCCCCACCCGAGAGCTGCATCATTGGCACCTCCTCTCAGTGCCAGCCCTGACCTACCCGACTCCATCCTGTGTGTGTTACAGTTGGGGACAGCCCTGGAAGGTGGGTGCTGAGCGGTCTCCCCAGCTGCCCCAACCAGGCGGGGTCCCACCCCTCAGCAATCCTGCAGCTGCAGGGAAGAGGTGAGGTGGGATCCTCACCACTGCGAGGGATGATTTTCCTAGGGGCTAGGTAACTAAGTAACTTTTTTCACTGAATATGAATTACTTGCATCATTTAAAAATAAGTTGTTTAAAATTAAAATTGTGAATCCCTCCCACCAAGGGAACATAAGTTCTGGAAGGGGACACCTGGGAGGCCCCAGATGACACCTTTGGGCATACCCTGACATCCAGCCAGGGTGGGGTCCTGGGAAAAGGCGGACCAGGCGCCCAGCTCGGGGTGATCTGTGGGCTAGGGCAGCAGGGAGGAGGGGAGCAGGAGGGAGGGGAGCTCGCTGGGAGCCCGCTCCCCCCTCCCCCACCCCGCGCTGACTTTCACAAGCCATTAATTCTGCACCGAAGGAATTTTCTAAAAGGCCTTTCCCCCAGCGTTTTTTCCCCTTATCCTAAAATAAAATTTTAAAAAATTTTTTTAAAGAAGTAAGCCGTCGGCTGCTCCGAATGATCTGTGTTCCGAGGGGGAAGCTGATTCCCCAGCTGCCAGGGGAAATCACAAGGCAAACCGGCTCAAACACGGAAGCCCAGCGTGGCGGGAAGTGCCGCCCCTGCTGGGGGAGGGGGATGCAGGCTGGGGGAGGGGGACACGGGACTCGGGGACTAGACGTCCTGAGCATGCTGGCCTCGGCTGAACTTGGTCTCCAGGGACAGTTAGCCTCACAGGCCCAAAATACCCCCTGACCCCAGCACCGTCCTCCTTAAAGGCTAATGAGCATGAGTCTTTCAAAACTCAAGTTCTCCTGAGAGCAGGGAAGGCTCGGCTATCCCCGCAGCGCCCTCCAAGTCACAGGGCCATCTTTCTCTCACACAAAGCTGGTCAGACCCTCCCTACCTACAACCCAGCTCCTGGCTGTCCTCGGGATCAAGCCCCAGCAGTCCAGCCTCGCATTCAAGGCCTTCGTGCCCCAGCTCCTGCCAGCTCCCAGGCCTCCAGTCTCCCTCCTCCCTCTGCCCCACCCGCTGCGCCCACCACATCAGTCTCCACAGGTCCTGGAATGTGCCCACACCTCATACCCGGGGCTCTTGTACCATTGTAAATGTCCCTTCAGCAGCCAATGCCCATCCCATGCCTCTGAGGCATTCGTACTCCCCTTGGCACTTCAGCGCCCCCGGTGTCTGGACCCATGCTGTTCCCTCTCCAGGCATGCCCAGACGGCAAGTTTTCAAGATGTGGCTCAGCCCCCCAACTCCTGTGATGGCACTGTGCTGGTCACACATTTCCCATGGCAGCACATGCATGACGTTCTCCAGCATGGAGCCTGTGCTCTGGAGGGAATGTTTACAAAAGAAAGGAACCTAATTTTGACTAAAGTGTGAACGACTGTGGTCAGCTGCTTTCTCTCTAAGTCGAGTGACTGAGAGCAACACGGCCATGCTGGGTGCTGGAGAACTGAGGGAAACGTATGCCTACTCTGCGTGTGGCAACAAAGGGAGGCGGGTATTCAGGCCCAGGCAACACTGGCTGCTAGCTTCAGTTCCTGTAAAAACCTCACTTTATCCCTCTCTCACATGGGATGAGCAACCGCCGCTGGTTTCGGCCCCGTTTTGAGAGCAGGATGCCCCCTCCCCCTCCAGCTGGCTCCCTCCTGGGGCCAAAGCTCAGCTCTGCCCACTCTCCCATTAAAACTCTGACATATTGATTTTACTACCAGCTGTAATTGTGTTGACTTTCTCTCCCCAGGAAGCCAGTTGGAAGGAGCGCTTCAAGAGCCCGGCTTCTCAGGCCTCACATCCTGCCGCAGACCCACCGCAGGTGGCACTATGAAAAGGATGCGGCATTAACAGTGGGCGCTGCGGCAGGTTGCAAAATCCAGCGGTTCCGTCACAGGTACAGACTGCATGGCTACCACACCGGCTGCGGAGGCTTTGCACTTGAGAAGTGAGGGCACCTTCCTGCCTGAAGTGTTTGATTGTTTATGATCCTGGGAAAGTCAGGTTTCCTTGCCACAGAGCTGAAATTTGCCACAGAGCTGAAAGCACATGATCACTTTGGGGTATTAAGACTGCAGGGTGGGCCGTTCGCACCATGGCTCACGCCTGTAATCCCAGCGCTTTGGGAGGTGGACGTGGAAGGATCGCCTGAAGCCTGGAGGTCAAGGCTGCAGTGAGCTATAATTTCACCACCGCACTCCAGTCTGGGTGACAGAGACCCTGTCTCGAAAAAATAAAAATAAAAAAACTGCAAGGTGACCGCAGCTCACTACATCCTGGCCGGGGACTGGGCTGTCTGGACCCCCCAGCTCCTCCCAAAGCTGGGCTCCTTCCCATTCATCCTTCACGGGAGCCAAAGAGAGCTTTTAAAACTGCAAAGCGCTTAATGCAACATGGGCTCCTGGAAAAGAAAGCAGACGTTTGTGGAGTGCAGTCTGGAGTTTAGTTGGGAGTAAAGAACAAATGTTGGCTTCTTAGTTTTGACAAATGTACCACGGTAACGGTAAGATGTTAGCAATGGGAGAAACTAGGGGACGGGTATACAGGAACTGTCTGTACTATCTTTGTAACTTTCCTGAAAATCTAAAATTATTCCAAAGTAAAAAGTTTATTTTGTAAAAAAAAAAAACCCCGCAAAGCAGGTCACATCTCCTGTGCAGCTCAACAGCTTCCCATGGTTCCCTAGTGCTGTCAACACAAACCCAAACTTTGCTCCTGGGCCCTTGAAGCCCCACTCAATCTGGCCCTGACCTCTGTGGCCTCTCTCAGCCCCCGTCCCCGCCAACTCCTCCCTCAGCTTGGACAGCCCAGGTAGGTAGGGCCAGTCCTCCTGGGCTCCCCTGAGTGGAGCCCATGTGGCACGGGCTCAGTGGTGGCCTGTGGACTGTGTCCAGTCTCAGTCCAGCAGCCCAGCCGCACACAGCCAGGCCAGGGTATGAAGCCACACCTGTGACTCCCAGACCCCAGCTCCTTCCACTTCAGCATGCACTGCCTCTCAGAACACTGTGCAAGCTGACACCTCTGCTGAGAGTAAACTGAGGCAAGGAATGAGCCATGGGCACACTGTGTGCCAGCCCTGGGAGGGGGCAGGACGGACTCGGTCCTGGGTGGCCTCTGGCAGCAGCCCCCATGCCAGGGAGGAGACCACCTGCTGCTGAGAAAGTAAATACCAGCGCCTTCAGGGGTGACCAAGAGGCTTCCTGGAGGGGCTGTAGGGAGAAGATGGCCAACCAGGCCTAGCACCATGGTCAGGAAGCCTGGCCTTAGCCACAGAGGAAAAGCAGCCTGGAGGAGCACGTTGGAGAAACCAAGGCACAGAGAAGAGCAGAGGCTTCAGACAAACGGCAAAGGACACAGCAGCTCTGGCAGACCCTTCGGGGAGGCCTGCCTTGGTTTCCCTGACCCCTCTGGAAGAGGCGGGTCACCCAGCTCCAGGGCTTTGAGGTTATCCAGACCAGCTGGACACCATCTGGAAGGGCTGAAGCCAGCCAGCCAGGCCGCCCTGAGGGCCAACACACAGACTGGGCATGATCTGCCCACCCACCCCAAACAGGCATGGCCTGGAAGGACAAGCCCCAGGCTTAGGTCACAAGCCTGGCTGGATTAAGGACCTACTGTGTGACACTACAGCTACTGGGGGCACCTTACAGCCCTGGGGGTGCACGCACGCACACACACACACACACACACACACACTCTTGCTGCGTACCCATTTTACAGATGAGAAAGCTGAGGCTCCTGACTCCTAAGTCTCACAGCTCTTACCTCACTATGGGAGGCACCATCCCCTCTGAACCTCGGACTCCACATCTGTAAAATAAGACAGCAATAGCACCCACCACCTAGGGCTTATGGAAGGACTGAGCTCATAGGAGCCTTCAGTGCTAAGCACTGTAGGTGCTCAATAAATGTTCCCAATTAGCTATGCAGACCACGGAGCAGAGGCTCGGGAGCTCCCGAGGACAGGGACAAGCCACTCCACCGCTTCCTGAAGTCAAAGCATCCGAGGCTGGATGGGCTACACCGCCCTCACCAAGGACACAGTAGTGGGAGCTCTGGCCTCGGCCTGCTCTGCCCTGGCGCCTGGGAACCACCGCCACAGTCGCTGACTCAAGCAGCCATTGTTTAGTTAGCTGGACGCAGCCCCTAGACACCCAGCTCCCCCTTCATGAAGCTGTTTCTCATTCCGGCCCGGCCTGGCCCCATTTCCAGCTCCCCTCCCCCTGGGTCCCAGAGGAGCACAGTGTGGGATGGGCAGCCAGCGGCTCTTCCCTGGCCCAGGGAAAAGGCTTCCCTCCCCCCAGCAGGAGGGGCAGAGCACGAAGCCAGTCTTTCCAAGCCCTGGAACAGTTTCCCTCCCAGCTTCCTCCCCTGAAGGGACTCCAGGCCAGGAGCCGAGAAATAGTTGCCTCTCCAGGGAACACTGGCAGTTCCCTCCTGGGGCTGGGGGGACTTGGAGGTTCGATCTCACACCCTCCTCCCCAGCCCCTGGTCTCCTCGGGGTCCAGCCCATATGCCTGGCCGCAGGCTGTGCTCTGCAGCAGGACTCTACCGCTGGTCCCAGAGTCATCGCACGACCGCTGTGGACACAGCCAAGAAGACAGGGCTGCTTGGAGCCTTGCGCAAACATCTCCGGGCTGGATTCCATGAGCTGGGGACACAGAGGTGACAACGGGGCCCTCTCTCCAGCTGCCCACATCCGAGCTCAGAGGCCCAGCCCCAGGATGGGGAGGGGCAGCTTTCTCATAGTAACAGTTCGGTAGAGTGACAGTAGCAAGCAGCTGTGTGCAGTCTGCTTTGTGCTGAGACCTCTTTCTGTATTATCTCATTCAACCCTCACCACACCCTGAAAGAGTTGATGCTGCTTTACAGTAAAGGAAACTGAGGCACAGAGAGTTGAAGTGATTTGCCCAGGGGCACACAGCCGGAATGGCTAGATCCAAGCCTCCAGCGCAGGCCTGCGGGCTCCAGATCCCCGCCCTTAACCACAGCCTCCCCACCCGCCGCTCTGCTGGGAGCCACCAATGGTTGCCAGGAAATCAGCCGCTTGGAGCTGGAAAAACCCTGGGTTTTGAGCTGGGGAAACTGAGGCCCATCAAGGTGATGGCTGCTTCTAGAGAGCTCAGTCACCTCAAACAAAGATAGCGGGCAGAGGCTGGAGAAGGGCACAGGCAAGGGGGTTTGGCCACTTTCCTGGGCCTGGCCTCCACTCCAAGGCCTCTGCCTGCGGGCCCCCCCCCATTATTTACCGATCAGAGCATAAAGTGCTACATGATTAACGCCCCACTGGGGCCTTGCCGGGACTCGTAATGGAGCTGCGAGCTTCCCTCCCCCTCCAGCGCATGATTTATCAAGTTTCAGGGTAAAGGACGGTGGACTAGGCGGGGAGGGCCCCCGCTGGCGCTGGCCCCCAGATCTTGACTGCATCGAGTATCAGCCGAGCAGGGTGGAGCAGGGCCCCTGCCACTGGATGCCTGTCTGGGCGGTCTGTTTGGTTCGGCCCTGGCTCAGACATGGCCTTTGGAAAGAAGAAAACGGCTGTACTTGGGGGGCAGTGAGGATCCAAGTCCACGTGGCTGGCACTCAGAGACTTTCTGGGCTTGTCCCCACTCGGGAACCGGCTGGTTTCCATGGCAATCCCCACATGGCTGTCAGAGCTGGAGAGGCCCTCGGGAGTTACCTGGTCCAGCCACAGTGGGGGCTCCGGGTGAGCGCCTCCGCCCCTGGATCCTGCCAGCACCTGGCAGGGCCAATACAGACCAGCAGCCACAGGGTCCCTTCCGGAACCAGATCAGCCATGTCTCTCCTTTCCCCAAAGCCCTGCTGGCTCCCCGCAGCCCACATGACAGCATCCAAGTCTTTAGCCTGCAGGCAAGGCCCAGCACACTCTCAGCTTCCCCTCGGCCTGCTACCCAAGCCACATTCCAACATCTCTGAGCCTTTGCCCCTATCGTGTGCTCTGCCTGGAATGCCTTCCCCAGCCCCATCTGTCAAGTGCTGCTCCAACCTCCCCTCCTCCAGGAAGCCCTCCCGCACTCCTCTGATGAGCTGGTTAGTGTGTGGCATCTGTCTGATGTCATGACCTCCTCCCTCACCATTCTGGGGGCTCCTGGAGAGGGTCCAATTTGTCTCTCTTGGGGGCTGTCCTGTAGCAAGCTGAGCCTCCTCCCATACTCACATACTCTAGAGAGCTCCCCACCCAGAGCTTGGACGGGCATGCGATGTTACCAAGGAGGTGCTGGCCTCTGGTATGTGTGGGTGGAGACAGCTACAGGCCCGGTAGCAGGAGTCCACACCAGGGGGTCATCCTAACCCCAGCCCGCGACCATGATGGGCGCTGGGGCTGGGCAGCTCTGCAGGCCACCCTGAAAGGCCCTCACTGCTTCTCACAGGGGCCTCGGCGGACGCAGAAGTTCCCTGGGTCTCAGTTTCCTCACCTTTAAAATGGGCCCATTCACCCCTTCCGACACCCTCTGGCTCACACCCCTTCGGTCAAAGATTTTGGAGGAATGAGGGGTCACAGGCGCTACAGCCAGAAGCCTGCTCCACCTGGAGCACCACAGTCACACACCACGGTGTGACCTCAGGCAAGATGCTTAACCCTTCTGGACCTCTGTTTCCCCTTCCATAGACTGGGGATAACAGTCATGTCATTCAGGTTCTGGGGAGATTAAAAGATATGTAAAGTGCTCTGCAAAGGGCTAACACAGAGAAAGTTCTCAAGCAACAACCACAGTAATTATGACATGATGGGGCAGTTCTGGTGTCAGAGGGAAGGCTTCCTTGCCACTCCATGGGCCAACTCCAGGGTCGGAGAACGGAGGCCCAGGTAGGGGAAGGCACCACTCTCTCCCGGGGCTCCTGCCCTCCCGCTCCTGTCCCAGTACACGCCACGCGTCTTTGTTCACGGCAGCAACCAGGACATGGAACCCAGCTGGTTTCCTTAATCTCCATGGAGACCGGGAGTCACAGGCGGGTGAATCGGACTTTGCAGAGGGCGTTTCTGCCGGGCCCGATGCGCGTGGCCCTTGCTGAATGCCGCCAGGCCACTCCAGTCTTCCCTGCGCTCAGCCCACTTTATAGATGGGAAAATGGAGGCTCCAAGAACGGATGGGACTTTCCACAGCTAGGAAGGGGCAGAGGCAGGATTTGAATCTGGGAAGTTGGCCCCAGGGTCCTGCACTCACCTAGCGATGTGCGCCTGCCTGGCTGTGGAAGGCCTCACTGTGGGCGTATCCAGGGCGCTGACAGATCCCCCACTCACCCTCCTGGGTGGACCATCATTCACACTGACCATTGAACCCACATCTCTCATTTGCACACCCAAAGGGCCATGGGCTCACTCCTTCCAGAGGCTGATGATCGCATTTTCAGACAAATGCAACTAGAAGTTCCTTGCCTCCCCTGACTTCCTCAGGAAGCTGGGTCAGCCCCCATCCCCCAGCATGTGGCCTGGCCTCTGCAGATGCCCCAGCCCGCCTGAGTCACTGCTATCACAATGGGCCCTGCCTGAATCTCTATGGCCCAGCCAGAGGGGGAACTGCAGAATTCCCCACCACGGAGAGCTCACAGCTCACCAGCCACCAGGAAGAGGACTCCTGCTTCTATCTGCGGATCCAGACCCTCACTCCCCAGCTGTGTGAGCCAGGGCAAGTCACTTCCCCTCTCTTGGCCTCAGTTTCCCCTTCTGTAAGCTGGGGATGATGATGACGCACTGTCTGCCTGACCAGGGGAGGGGCAGCCATGAGGTCAACCATGTAGGTGCTTATAAAAGGCCTGCAGAGCGCGAGCTCGGCGACGGTTTTTATTCACTCCAAGGAGCCCACAGGCCTCTTGCCTTCAAGACAGTGCTGCCCTGGACTCCTCAGCCCGGGCACTAGAGACCATTCTCTCCATCTCAGTCTCTGTGCTGGGGCTGGGACAGCACCCAACACACCCTTGCTGCACCCAGGCGTCTCACCCACCCCTGCCTGCCTTCAGGCCCTATTTGATCTCATCTCCTCCAAGGCCCTGACCCTCCCTCCTCTGAGCATCCCCTGTCCACTGAGGCCAGTTTTTTCTGGTGTCTTTTCTCCCTCTTGATACTAATACCTGTGCCTGCCATTTCCTGGGCACTGCATGTGAGGTTTTATTTTATGTATTTATTTTTTATTATGGGCAGCCCCCTAAGCCAGAGTAGGCTGAGAGAGACACCCCTGAGATTTTAATCTACCCACATCCTAGGAGGGAGGCATAAGACCTGTTTTATAATGAGAAAGAATGAGGCCCAGAGAGGGTAAATGACTGGCCCTGGGACACACAGCTTATGGACTGTATGCCCATGTACCTGGGGGTCGAGACATTCTCAGGGCTGGGAGGGATGTCTCCTGGTCCAAGCCCTATCTGTTTCTCCAGGCCAGAGGGTCATCTCAGCCAATCCTCCTAGAACCCCCTCTCCTAAATCCTGCCAAGTGTCTCTGCTTGCACCCTTCGTCACTGGGAGATCACTCCCAGCCCCCAGCCCAAACCCAAATGTAAAGCCCATCTTGGAAGCTCTCTCTCCCTCCGCCCCCACCTGGCATCTCAGCCCCTAAATTGGTGCAAAAAAATGTCTTCTTGACGACGTGCACCCACCCACTGCATGCCAGTTTAAAACTGCCTGATGGTTTTTTTTCCACCTTTACTATAAAAAGACACCTTGAAAATGCTGCACTGACATTGGCCTGTCGGTATTCCTTTTGTTTTAAAAATACAAATATTATGGTCATTCATAGGTTGGGGAGAAAGACTTGGGGAAGGAAGGTAGACTCAGTCTGCCCCACCTTGTTGGGTGATGCTGTGCCTCAGTTTCCCCCATCAGTGGCACTCAACAACTTCCCAACTGGCTTGCACTCCAAACAGGTTGTGATTTGAGGAAAGGGATCCAAGCTACATGCAATGGAGGCTAATTTCTTCACTCAGTTTCTCTCAAAATATCTTAACTGCCCCAAATACGTTGAAAACAATCAGGGACAAATTTGGGGACTTCTGAGGGCTGCGGGGACCGAGGTTCTCTGCCTCTGGCCTCACACTTCAGCAGCTTCTCCCTTTGGGTTCTCGGGAAGAAGGTGGAGGGCAGAGGGCAAGTCCTGTCAGCTGGGAACCCGGAATGTCGGGAGGCCATCCTGACCCAGGCTCTGGAGTTGTGGGCGGCTCAAGGGATTCCTGCCAGGGCCCAGGGTTCTTCGTGAGACCCTCAAGCAGGAGCGAGAGGCTGGGTTTCCAAAGGCCTGGCTGAGCTGCCCCACTTGCAGGTCATTCGGCCCTGGGGTCCTGCCCCATGTGCAGCCCCACCCAGGCCACCCAGTGCCAGTGACAGAGAAATCCAGCCAGATGGGACCAGGAGAAAAAAGGATTCTAGGCTCCTGGTTCTCCCCAGACCAAACTCATCCTCTTCCCCAGAGGTACCCCATCACATGCCCCACCCCATGGGTACCAACATCTATCCTGTTGCTGAGCCTGACTCTGGGCAGCTTTCTGCTCCTCCATCCCATCACTCCCCACCACTGGGGCTGCATCCCAGCCCCCAAATCTGTCCAGAGCCCACCTGCCACCCTCCAAGCCCTCAGCACTGCTGCAGACCAGGCCAGCCATGTCTCCAGAGAACAAGGCCGGCCCCATCTCCCCACTGCCATCTGGCACCCACCACAGAGCCTGGCACACAGTAAGTGCTCAAGATATATTTGCGACTGAGTGAAGGAATCTATTCCCGGGAGGCGGCCTCAGCCTCTCAGCCACTCTCCCTCCTCCATTGCTCCTTCTCACCAGCTACCTAGGGGCTTTCTAAAATAATAGGTAGAAGAATTGTAGTCATTGCAAACAGGCGCCAGGTACATAAATGATCTCATTTAATACCCCCAACAGCCCTAAGAGGCAGGTATTCACGAGCATTCCCCTTCTGCAGCGGGGAGACTCAGGTGCCTGCTGAGACCACTCCACTTCTCTGGCTAAAACCCTTCATGGCTCCCAGGACCCCAGGATAAAGTCCAGACTCCCAAGGACGGTCTCCCCAGGCCTCCCTGGCCCTTGTGTCATGTGCTTCCCACTCTACTCGCCTGGCCACGCAGACCCCCTCGAGCCTGCTCACAGCCTTCGCACAGGCTGCTCCCTTTGCCTGGATGCCTTTCCTCTTCTCCGGCCTCACCTGGCTTCCTCCTGCTCCTCCGCCCCCTCCGCTGGGCTCCCTCCACCCTCATTCTCCCTTTGCGGCACGCATTGCCCTGTGTATAAGGGCCTGGTCACACATCCGTCCTCGGCTCACCTGCCCAGCCCACAAGAGTAGAAACAAAGTGAGTTGCCATTGGCTCCCCAGGGCACAGCATGGGACTGGGCTCACAATAGGGACTTAGTAAATGTCTATGGAGGTGTCATCTGGGGCTAGAAGTAGGAGATGGTGGGGTGTTTACAGCTGCAGAACAAGCCAGATTAGGCAACTGCTCTCCAGGACCAAGCAGAGACCTGTGCTAATAATGTCCCTTAGAGTAATAACAAGAAGAACTGCCATCTGCTTGGTGCTTACTGTGTACTGGGTACACTGAGCTGCATTTATCGATTCATCTAGTCCTTAAAACAATGCTTTGGGATAAGGATTGCTTTTACTGTCCCCACTTCACAGATGAAGAAACTGAGGCCCAGAGAGGTTAAGTTCCTTGGCCAAGGTCACACAGCTGGGAAGTGACAAAGTGGGACTTGAACCCAAGCAGCCTGATGCAAAGTCTAGGTTCTGAATCTGTCGCTGCATAGCTGGCAACAGCCTGGAGCAAGAATAATGATCCCTCCCCCACCCCTGCCCATGCTAGAGGCCCAGACCGGGGACCTTGAGCACCTCTGGGAGATACTGCCAAGTGGCACTGGCCTGTGCCCACAGCGGGCACGGCGAAGAGGAGAAGGGTGTGGAAAACACAGGGAGGGTGACCAAGGAAGGCCGCAGCCGGAATCTGTGGCCTTGGGGTGGGGAAGAGGCCCTTCGCCACTCTGTCCTGGGGCTGTGTCCCTGGAGAGGCCCTGTCCCCTTAGGTAGAGAAGCTCCAGCCCCCCTCAGCTGGGTGAGTCACTGCACCGAGGGAGCGGACCGTGGGAACCAGAATGGTTCTTGCCAGAGGGGGAGGGAACCCTGGGCTGGCCTAAGGAATCCCACAGATCAGCTTACACCAAAGGGCCGAGACACAGGGCCTGAAACTACTGGAGGAAGGCCCTCAGTCCACAGGACACTTCTCTCCATTCAGCGACTCCCCACTGAGACCCCCAGTGCCAAACACAGTTGCCTGCGAGATGAAGCTCTGGGGTGGAGATGGTGGATGAACCAACCATGGCACAGGGCAAGCAGCCCCACCACCCTTTGGACTGTCTGCCCTGCTCACCCACCGTGACCTTTACTTTCAGGGTGGCCGGCCAGATGGTGGGCAGTCGTGGGAGACCGACCTCGACCTTGGGAGAAGGAATCTGCATTTTCTCAAAGCCCCAGTGTTGGGCCCGCCCACAGAGGAATGGTTAATCTCATGAAATTCTTGTCACAGCCATGGAGAAGGGACAGGGTGGGGCCCCAAGGAAGGCTTGGGTCACCACAAGAAGGCTGAGTTCTGCATTTTGCTGATGGAGATGCAGCTTCCTAAGGGAATGGCAGGCAGTGGAGCTGAAGTGGGCTCGCCAGACTCAGATGGGTGGAGGGTGTGGGAAAGGCCCCAGTGTCATTCTGGGGCCTCATTCCTCAGGGTGAACTATGGGGATCAACAGACCCAGCTCCCAAAGCCAGTGTGAGGAGCAATCCCTTGCCATGAACTTCCTTTCAGGGAACCACACCAAGTCCCCTCCCGCACCCTTGTCATGTCAACACACATGCTGATTCCGTCAACCTGGCCCCCCTTGCTACTGCCCAACCCAGCCTCAGACACCTGGGCCCCATGCCTGCCTGTACTCCTCCTCATTCCCCACTGAGCCCCACGGCCCTCTCCTGCCCCCAAAACACCCCTGTTCACATCCCTCCATTCTCCTGGCCCTGGCATCTGCCCACCCCAGCTGCCTGGGACGCCCCCAAAACACACGCACTCTGAGATCCAAGTCCAGAAGGCAGCAAAGGCTGGGCATTAAAAACACAGATGCTGAGGCCAGACAGGCTGGATTCAAATCCACCTCTGCTAGTGCCCAACTGTGTGATCCTCAGCAAGTTGCTTAACCTCTCTGTGCCTGTTTCTTCATCTGTAAAATGTGATGAGAATAGAGGCTACCTGAGAGGGTTGTTCTGAGAACTGGGAATTGTGACATGTGATGCCCCTAGCTGGCACTCCACAAGTGCTATTGTTTACCCCAGACTCCCACACCTGGTACATACTAGGTGCTCAGGAAATATTTGCAGAATAGGTGAATAAAAGTTGGCCTCAGGCACACACCTGTTTGCCAACCATGCAGCCTCCTCAGAGTACCGACTCATGCCCAAATACCTGCGTCCCCTGCCACGCACATCCCACTGCACACCTAGCCCTGTCCCGTTGTACCAGTGTCTGTGCAGTACACCTGTCTGCCCTGTGCGTCTTCAGGCCCCAGCTTGCTGGCACACAAGTCCATGCAGACATCTGCAGGGCCCTGGTGCACACCTGTGTGCCTCCTTGCACACCTGCCACACCCATGCACCCATCACCAACGTGCAATGGTAACTCTGACAGGCTCACGCAGTGGCCCCAGAACACAACTTTGGTCAGGCATGCAGTCACTTACTGCGCCCTCAGCATGCACCTGTGACCCTCACGTGCATACCTGGGCTTTATGCGCACCTGGGTACCTGTGGCAACTTGGACCCCTCCCAGTACGCCTAGGTATGCGCGCCCATGAGCCGGCACTCACTTGAGTCCCTGCACATGCCCACCTGGGCCATACAGGCGCCAGTAGTACCCCTCGGGGGACACCTGTATTCTCGCGTGCACACCTGGGTTCCACGTACATCTGGATCTCTGCGCGCTCCCACCTGTGACCCACTCAGCTCACGACCCGCTCGGTTCCCGCCCGCCCCCGCCCCCGCCCCCGCCGCCGCCGCCGCCGCCGCCGCCGCCACCGCCCGGGTGTACCTGGATGTTGAGCTTGCGCTCACAGGCCGGTCCCGTGCCCTGCACCACGCTGTCGAGCACCGCCACCACGTCGGGCGCCGGTTCCACGAAGCAGGCGGTGCGCGCAGCTCGGATGGCGGCTCGCACGTCGGCGAAGCGGAAGGCGCAGAGTGCGGCCGGAGCAGCGCGGGCCGCGGGGGACCCCTGGGGCCGCTCGAAGACAGCAAAGAGCCGCTCCCGGGCTGGGAAGACCGACACCAGGCGGCTGTAGAGGTCGCCGCGGCCCGCGCCGCCCGCGCACTGCAAGCCCAACTGGATGTAGGACTCGGTGAGCTTCTTGGCGTCGCCGCCGGCGCCGTGGGGCAGGCAGATGCGCGCCAGCAGGCTCCGCGCCTGGCTCTCCTTGTCGCCCGCGCGCGCCTCGCTGTTGAGCGCCAGGTACGCGTAGGACTGTGCACCCGGCGGCGGGTCGGACGGGTGCAGGAAGGCGCTCACGAAGCCCAGCTTGTGCTGCTCCTTGGCGCCCTGCTTGATCTTGAGGATGTTGTCGTCGGAGGGGTTGAGGTCGAAGGTGAAGAGCTTGGCCAGGTCGCCGCGCGTGTCCAGGGAGCGGATGGCGATCTCGGGCGTGTTCTCGAAGCGGTGGTCCTCCAGGCTGCGGTTGCGCGGGAAGAAGGAGCTGCCGTAACCGGTGTACGTGGCGCCCACGAGCAGGCGGCTGCCCCCCGCGCCCGCGGCGGGAGGCAGAACTAGCCCCACGGTGGACGCGTTCGGGTGGTTGGCCGCCACGTTCAGCATGCTGGGGAACACCGTGACGGGCTCGGCGGGCGGCGCGGCGGGCGGGAAGCGCACGGCCACGGCCGAGATGTTGCCCCGGCGCCGCAGCTGGCAGAAGCCCTGGTAGATGGACCCGCACACGACTACCAGGCCCTGGCCGGGGTCCAGCTGCAGGATCTTGTTGTAGTTGTCCGTGAGGCGCCGCGGGTGCTCGCACGAGGCCTGCGGCAGCTGCGGAGCGTGACACAGCGGGCTGTCGGGCACCGGGCCCACGGCCGCCTCGGCCTCCAGGCTCAGGTTGGCGCCCGACAGCTGATAGAGGCGGTTGACGGCCGCCAGGTACACGGTCCCCGCCGCGCCGTCCAGGGCGAAGTTGTTGGTGGGCGTGGGCGAGGGGAACCGACGCTGGATCTCCAGGGCGCCGGCCCGCGCCGCCCCCAGGAGCAGCAGCAACAGCAGCGGCACCGGGCACCGCGGCGGCGTCTGGAACGGCGGGGGGCTGGCGGCGGCGGCCCGGGCGCTAAGGGGTGCGCCGCCCGCGGCGCGAGGAGCCATCCGGGCGTGCGCGGGCTGCGCGGCGCGGCGAGTGCATGGGGCGAGGCGCGGCCGGGAGCCGGGAGCCCGGAGGCGGCGGGAGGCGGGGGGCGGGCCCGGGCCGCGATGCGCTTCCTGCCCGCGCCAGCCGCCCCCGACCCCGGCGCCCGGGCCCGGGTCAGCCTCGCCGCGCAGCCCGGGGGCGGGGCGGGGGCGGCTCCGCTGCGGACACGCCCTCACTCCCCGCCCCGGCCCCGCCCGCCCCCGGGACCCCCGCCTGCCCCTGGCCGCCCTGGGCCACGCCCCGCCGTCCGCGGGTCCCGCCGCCCGCGCCCTCCAGGACCCGCCCGCGGCCCCAGGGTCCCTCCCCGTAGCCGCCGCCGCCGTCGCTCGCTCTCCTCGCTCTTTCCTCCCACTTGGCCGCTTGGCCTGCCTCGCTCGCGCCTGTTTTCTCTTTTCCGCCCTCTCCCCCACCCCGTCTCTCCCTCTCTCTGCGTCTCTCGGTCTCTGCGTCTCTCCGTCTCTGTCCCCACCCCAAACTCCGCGCGTGTGGCGCTTCTCCGGGTTCTGCCTCTGCTTCTCCTTCTCCCTCCGACTCCGCTTCGCTCTCCAGTCCCTGGCAGCCCCGCCCCCGGCCCTTTCTAGTCTCCTTCTCTCTCCTGCTCCGTTTTTCCGTCCCTGACGCTCGCTCCCTCTCTCCGTGGCTCCCTCTGCCTCCCCCTCGGACCCTCCGTCCCTCTCTCGGTCCCTCTGAGCTCCCCTTTCCTTCTCCCTCTGCCTTCCCGAACCCTGTGTCTCCCCTCCACACTCAGCCTCCCTCCACCACCTTTCTCAGGCACTGTCCAGGCCTTCGCTCCCCCGGTGCCGGCCAGTCGGGCCCCCCAGACCCCATAATCTGTCCCCCAAACCCCAGACCCATAAAAGGGATTTACAAGTGGCAGGGCCAGAGGGACCAGTGCTCAGGGTCAGATATATAAATGAGGAAAACATGGAGAGAGGAAATAGTTCCAGCCAGTGGCCCACAACCGATAGCCAGAGCAAGGCCTTGGTCCTGGAGCCCACAGTTGCCTCCTGTGGAGACCCAGCCGCACCCCCACCCCTGGCACCCCCGCCAGGCACTTTCCCTGACATCCTCCCAGGCTTAGTGGAAGATTAGTCCCACAAAAGCCGGCACTGGGCAGGGTTCTTGATCTCAAAAGCAGCGTTAGGGGCAGGCAGCCTGGTTCCAAGGTCACAGCCCTGTGAGGACCATGCGCCGTGGCTGTTTTGCGGGGGTGCTCACACAGGGCTAGCCCGTGCCAGACACTGTGCCAAGCACTTGCCATGTACGGGCTCTCTTTTTCCTCACAGATTCCCCCGAGGCGAGCGCTATTGGTAACCCATCTTCCAGATATGGAAACCAAGGCTGAGGGGAAGGGACTGGCCCAAGATGCACAGCTCATGAGGAGCAGAGCTACAGTGTTTGAAAGCAAAAGCCCTTCAGCTCCGACCTCTCAGAACGGGGCCTCCCATCAGACCCCCAGCTTCCACAGGGTGCCCGGTGGGCCTCACTCTGAGAGTAGCGGGACCTCATTTTCCTCTTTCCCACCCAACCAGGAAGGAAGGGCAGGGGTGTCTGTGCACCATGGGGCCGGCAGGAAAGGCTGGGCCTGCAGCCGCCCCCCACTTCCCTCAACACCCTCGCCTTCCTGCCATCCTGCCCGCCTTGTTCCAGACCCCTCAGCCCTGGTCTGGCCACTGCTTTGATGGCCGGGAGTGTTGAGCTGCAGGAAATTGGAGGCCCCCTCCCAGGCCCATCCACCCACCAAGAGCCACTCAGGGGACTGCCCGTGGGACTGTGTCCCTGTCTTCCTCTCTGGATGGAGAAGGCGCACATCGTGCCACCCGTGGGGGCCAACTGCAGAGCCCAGCAGGGGTGCATGGGGCCTGCCTCCATGCCCCTCCTCCTCACTCACATCCTCAGTGCCCCCACCCCAGTCCATCCGCTGGTCTCTCTGTCTTATCTCTCTCTCTCCTGCCCCCACCCATCTCTGTTCCTATCTGTCTTGCTCCTCCCGTTCACTCTCTTTGTCTCTCCTTCTCTCAGTGTCTTGCCCCCTTCCCTTTCCACTCTTCATCTGTCTCTCTGTGTCTCTATCTCTGTCTCTCTCTCTGTCTCCCTCCCTATCCCTCACCCCCACTCCCTCTCCAGCCCCTCCTCTCTTCCTTCCTGTCTCCCGCTCATCTGGTTCATCTTGCTGCATCCTGCAGCTCCCCCCACTGAGCCGTGAGGATAATGCTCAGTGTTGTCTTAGACCAGCCTGTGGTGATGATCCTGGGCACTTGGGACACAAGCTCCCTGCCAAGCTGAGCAGTGGGGTTTAGGAGCTCTCTAGGTGAAGGGTATTCGGGTCTGAGTATCCTCACATCAACTGGAGGTGAGAAGTGCTGTGTGGTCTTGTGCAAGGCACTCACCCTCTCTGAGCCTCAGTTTCCTCAACTGTAAAATGAGGACAATCGTAGCAGAACACCTGCCCCTGGGAGGGTGTGAGATGGAGAATATAACATAACAGGTGTCAAGCACAACAAGGCTCTTAGCAAACACCAGTTTCTCCCCGCCTTGTGGCAGTGAACCATGACCCCTGAAGCCCATGTTAGAGCCAGGAGTTGGGGTGGGGGGCATTGCAACTAAAGACCAGGGCTCCACCTCCTGTCCTGAGCCCCAATGTGGCTAGCAGAGCCACCAGACGGTGAGAGTGAATCCTGTGCCCAGCACTGCCCTACCAGATCTTACACCATCCTTGCAGCCAGCTGACTAGGCTGTGGTCAGCAAACCCATTTCACAGATGGGGAAACTGAGGGGCATTAGCAAGGTAAGGATTGAAACCCAGATCTGGCTCCACATCTTATGATTTCTCCCTTCTACCCATTAGCTGGGAGCACCATCAGGCCAGGATGGCTCATGGTGGCAGCCCCTATACCCCTGGCTGGGCAGAGGAGGTGCTGACAATTACTGGCTGAATGAATGAATAAAGGAAGGAACAAACCACACCTTCCCTGGCCTTACTAAGATGCAATGAGGTGTTCTTCCAGAGGGAATTTTGGAGGGAACCAAGGGGAGATGAAAGGTACTCAGGAGTGGGGATTAGGTGGGACCCAGCAATAACTAACTTGGAATGAACTAACCCAGAATAGCCAGACCTAGTTGGTTATTCACACTGCAATTTGGGCCTTTTTCAGTTTTTGTTCAAGTCTGATTATATCAAGGAAAAGGTCTTGGTTTGAGGCTAACATGTCTTTAATGACTGTAACATTTGTCACTGTCTCTTTTTAATAGAGAGAAGGTCTCAAACTCAGGGCTGTTGACATCAGCGTGCTAGAATGTACTGATAGCGCTTTGTTTTCTTTGTACTTGCCGTTACTTTCTGGTTTTGGCAAGTGCTACTGGTTTTCCATGTACAGTAATGATGTAAAGCTTCCTTGATAAATGCATTGATTGAAGTCCTTTAAAAGTGAGTTAAAGACAAATGTGAAATAGGTGATAATCCAGATGCCACCAAAATGCCTGAAATTTGGGAAATGTCCAGCAGTGCCTTTGAAGACGAGGACCTGGTGGCCGAGTCAGGGCAGTCTTGCTTGGGGCACGGTGGTCAACGGCTATGCTGGCTCGGAGAAGGCGGGCCTGGGCCTTCCACCCCACTGGGTGGGCTTCCCACCCTGTCCTGTCCATTCTCACCTCTGACTGCCCAGGGCAGAGCTGTGAGGAGACAGAGGAAATGTTTTTCTTCTTCAATTGGAAAAAATAACAGTGGGGCCAGGGTTGCGCTGGGAGGAGGGGGC
The DNA here is from genome assembly GCF_000001405.40 of Homo sapiens. NCBI lineage: Eukaryota > Metazoa > Chordata > Mammalia > Primates > Hominidae > Homo > Homo sapiens. Next base: position 129,610,438 of record NC_000003.12, read on the forward strand.
TCCTGCCCTCCCGTCCCTTGGGCCTGGCCTCTGAGAACGTTTCCTTGCAGGAAATGCCCCTGCAAGGTTAATGCTTTAGAGCACCGCCTCAGCCACAGGAAGGTGCTGGAAACAAGAGTCCTAGGGACGGCTTGGCAATCCAGCCATGGGCCTAGGTGGTGCCGGGAGCCATCACTGCTGCTTCTCGGGGGCTGGACCCGTCTCATTTCCCCGTGGGAGCAACCCTGCGGGGGGGGTCTTAGCAACCCCCCTTTTTTTTAAATTATACTTTAAGTTCTAGGGTACATGTGCACAACGTGCAGGTTTGTTACGTTTGTATACAGGTGCCATGTTGGTGTGCCGCACCTATTAACTCGTCATTTACATTAGGTATATCTCCTAATGCTATCCCTCCCCCTCCCCCCACCCCACGACAGGCCCCAGTGTGTGATATTCCCCATCCTGTGTCCAAGTGTTCTCATTGTTCAGTTCCCACCTATGAGTGAGAACATGCAGTGTTGGTTTTCTGTCCTTGCGATAGTTTGCTCAGAATGATGGTTTCCAGCTTCATCCATGTCCCTACAAAGGACATGAACTCATCCTTTTTTATGGCTGCATAGTATTCCATGGTGTATATGTGCCACATTTTCTTAATCCAGTCTATCATTGATGGACCTTTGATCAACCCACTTTTGCAGATGGGGACACTTAAGGTCAGAGTGGTGTGCCACTGGCCTGCAGCTGCACAGCCTCCAGGCGTCCAGGCCCTGCTCTCAGCCGCTGCATCCCTGCGCCCCTTGCTTGGGGCTGAGAGGCCTGACCCTAACCATCTGCATGACCACGGCGGCGCCACTGCTTCTTGGTCCTCAGTTTCCGTATCTGGAAAGAGGAGCATGATCTGCCTCCGTGGGCCGCTGTGAGGATGGGGCATGTGTGTGTCATCATGAAGTGTGAAGTCTGCTGACTTCCTGCCCTAGAGCCTCAGCTCCCATGTGGGCTTCTCCAGCCTATCCTCTGAACCCCTCAGGAGGGCTCCCTCCACCCAGATGATGATTATCAGGGAGATCACCTCCTTTAATCACCCACCCAAGGGTCTCGAGGGCCTGCGTGATCATTCCTTCCCCTCTCCTCCTGAGCACAGACACTTAAGGCTCAGAGAGGCCTAGAGGCCCACCCGAGGTCACACAGCAAACAGGTGGCAAAGTGAGCCCTGCCCCGCTGCCCCTCCACACTGCATCTCCTGTCTTTGCCATCGTGCCCCACTAGTGTGGCTCGGGAGGGGCGGGCTGACCCTCCAGTGGTGGCACCGACAGGAGACAGTACCCCTCTTGACCGTGTTTCCAGACAGCAGTGCTGTGGCTTCTCCACTGTGGATGCCACTGGGGAAACCTCGAGGCTTTGCCACCCTTCACATTCTAGGGGCCCCTCCTGGCCCCTGAAGTGTTCCCTCTCTGCCTCTTCTGGAGGAGGAGGCGACCTTCCAGGTCTGGTTTCCGGGCCCAGGAGCGATGGCCTGCCCTGGCCCTCAAACCCAGCCCCCAGGGTGGTTCCTCTCATCTCTGTGTCCCCGTGGGGCTGGAGGAAATGGTTCTCATTCCTGCATGTGAACGACGCCCTCTCCCGACTCTGGGCAGGTCCTTGCCCTCTGTGCTCAGGGGACTCATGGGCCGGGGTGGGGACCCGGAGCCCCGTGTGCTCACTGGGGGCGCCTGGCCTGCCGAGCCCCCGCATGGCCCCTTTGTGCTCTGTGAGTTGGATAATGGGCGGCATTCTCAGACGTCCAGTCATGGGTCTGGGCCCGTGAAAGGACCCGGGCAGCTCCACACTGAGGCCTCTGTCCAGCAGAAGCCTCAGAGGGGCAGGGCCGCCGCGGGGGCCCCCACCCACATTCCCTGGCTGCCATCTCCAGGCGACAACCGCCTGAGTGGGCTGGGAGGCAGGCGCTCCCTGCACAGACAGTAGGTGCTTAATGACCACATCCCCAATGACAGGAGCTACAAGGAGCAGGGAAAGCCGAGGGCTGATGAGGACTGGGCGTTGTGTGGGTTGAGCACCTTCTGTGTGTTAAACATTTGCCAGCCAGTCCTTATAAAAGCCATCAAACAGCTGTGCTGCTGACCCCATTTGATAGGTGCATAAATTGAGGCTCAGGAGATGAGGCCCTGGTCCTGGATTTGAACCGGTGTCTGTCTGACCATGACTAATCCAGTGGATGTTGAGTGAGAACCTACTGTTTGCCTTAGGGACACAACAGTGACCACACCCCGTGGCAGGAGGGCTGAGGGAATACACAGGGGCAGATCAGACAGCCAGGCCAGCAGGAGCACATGGGGCGGGCTTATGGCCGTGTACAACGTCACTGAGAATCCAGGATGAAGGCCGTCTTCACAAGGGAGGGACTGTGAGGCCCACCTACAGAGGAGGGGACTGAGGCCCCACAGGAAGCAACTTGCCTGGGGCCACCGAGCCGCCCAAGTTGGAGCTGGGATTTTCACTGAGGTCTGGCTGTTCCCTGTTCTCCAGGGGTGGAGCCCAGTGAGGGGCAGGTGGCACCCCAGTCGAGGCTGTGGAGTCATCATCCTGTGGCCCTGGATCTGGGTTCAGATCCCAGCCTCGTGCTGCCTGTGTGACAGGTGAGTCTCTTCCCCACTCCAGGCCTCCATTCCCACACCTGTGTAATGGGTATGACAGCCACTGCCTCTGCAGACTGTGGGGATGAAATGAGGTCATCCCTGTAGGACATTTAGCCAGCCCCTGACTCATGGCAAATAGTCAGTGACATTTGCTTCCAATCATTGGAGGGGGAGGCGTTGCTGCTCCCACTATCCCCCAGCTCTGACTTCCCAGTGCTTCCCTGCCCTGCCCTCGGGATGGACGGAGCAGGCCTGGCTCGTGTTTTATCAGATGCACACAGGCCAGCTCTTCTGCCCCCGCCCCCGTCAGGGCTTCACATCAAGACCCTTCCTGCCCCCTCCAGACCTGCACCCTCCTCTGGACCTCAATTTCCTCTTCTGCAAAATGAGATGAGGCCTCTGGCTTCCAATAGAGTTGGCTGATCAAGTTTGGTCTTTGCTGACAGCAGGGGCTGGGTCTTTCCTCAGTGGCTCCCTGGAGTCTGTCACTTAGTGGGTGCTCCCCCAGGTACCTCAGCCTCCTCAGTGCCCCCCGACCCCCACCCCTGCAGAGCAAGTGCATGAGCTTATGCTTCATAGCAGGTACCAAAACAACGGACACTTCTAGTGCCCTTCTATGGGCTAGGCCCAGTTCTAAACACCTTGCATATATTAATGTATTTAAACCTCACAATAACCCTACCGTGAACATACCTATTTACAGGTAGGGAAACTGAGGCAGGAGGTGAGGTGACTTGCCTGAGGTCACCAGCTAGTACGTGGTAGAACCTGGATTCCAGATTCCTTGTTCTTTTTTTTTTTTTTTTTTTTTGAGACGGGGTCTTACTCTGTCGCCCAGGCTGGAGTTAAGTGGTGCGATCTCAGCTCTGCAACCTCTGCCTCCTGGGTGCAAGCGATTCTCCTGCCTCAGCCTCCCGAGTAGCTGGGATTACAGGCACACACCACCACGCCCGACTAATTTTTGTATTTTTAGTAGAGACAGGGTTTTGCCATGTTGGTCAGGCTGGTTTCGAACTCCTGACCTCGTGATCTGCCTGCCTCGGCCTCCCAAAGTGCTGGGATTACAGGTGTGAGCCACCGCACCCGGCCTGAGTCCTGTTCTTAATGAACTTGAGTCTCCATGGCCCCAGGCCCCAGTGCCAATGGGCCCCAAGGGGTTCTCTTAAGTCTTGGGCTGGCACATACACCCCACTTCAGACCCGTTTCCACCCTGTAAGGCTTCCTGGCTCCCTTTATGCCCCAGTAAACTTCTGAGAACTGTTTTCTCACCTTCCATGCTTCCTGAGAGACCTGGCTGGGAATGAAGCCATCCTTGGAAGCCTCAGGGAGGCCGGGCAGGTGTGAGCTAAAATCCAGGTGAGCCTGCTTCCCGACCAGGCCTTTCCCTTCCAGTGGCCCCAACCTCACCACTTGGTTCCAGCCAACTCAGTGGGGACTGACAAGGCCCCACTCATCTTTTGAAACTGCTGCTGGGTCTGGAGAAGGAAGGGCTGCCTGCAGCAGGGTGAGTGCCTGTCACGAGTATGCAAGCTGCAGACCCTAGACATGGCCCCACCTCGGACCAGCTGCACGATTCTGAGAGCCCACTCCGACCAAGCACTTGCTGTGTGCCGAG